>NC_000010.11:53779458-53930974 GCF_000001405.40 Homo sapiens | reverse complement strand
ACTAATTTGATCAAATAATTATCTTCCTTTTACAAAGTGTTAATGAAACACCAGGAGTTTGGTCTAGGTCCTGCTGCTTGCTGTACAGAAAGCCAATTACTGAGAAAACAAGTATTGCCAAGGAAGAAGGCTTTAATCGGGTGTTGAAGCTGAGGAGATGGGAGTTCAGTTTCAAATCCATCTCCCTGATTGACTAAAGCTAGGGGGTTTATGTAGTAGGGAAGAAACGTAAGAGTGTAAGAAAACAAGAACTGGGGAGGAGCAAGGAGGCCTCTGGGGCAGTGATCTGGTAAGTTTCAAATAACTGAAACTTTTTTCAGAGGCCTGAAGGTCCTCCTTTGCTGAGGAAAGAGCTCAGATAAAACAAATAAAAGTTTTAAGCTTTAGCAGCAGAAGAGCCAATCTCTGTGTTTATCTGAAAACAACTGTCTGTGGGACTGTTGGACTAGTTTCAAAAGGAAAGACAAATGTGAATGCGTTGCTATTTCTTTTTTTTTTTTTTTTTTTTTTTTTTTTTGAGAGGGAGTCTCACTCTGTCACCCAGGCTGGAGTACAGTGGCACGGTCTCAGCTCGTTGCAAGCTCCGCCTCCCAGGTTCATGCCATTCTCCTGCCTCAGCCTCCCGAGTAGCTGGAACTACAGGTGCCTGACACCACGCCTGGCTAATTTTTTTTATTTGTAGTAGAGACGAGGTTTCACCATGTTAGCCAGGATGATCTCGATCTCCTGACCTCGTGATCTGCCCGCCTCGGCCTCCCAAAGTGCTGGGATTACAGGCGTGAACCACCGCGCCCAGCCGAATGCGTTGCTATTTCTAATACATTATTTCAAAATTATGAGTCATCTTTTCTTCCTATCCATAGTCTCTTTCTTTGCAGAAAAACTCAAACTCTCCTGGGTTTTTAGGATATAATGTTACTTGGTCCCAAAGAAGCTTCAAGAAGCCTGTACCCAGAACATCTATAGAAGCTTATGTTAATATTTGTGCCACAGAGTCATTCCCATTCTTTTATGTAGAGCAAAAGCAGTAACATGCAAGTTTACAGCACAGATTGATTTATGTAACTCCATAATTGAAGTGGCAATTTTTGCTTTATGGTAAAATTATAATTATCTTTAAACATGAAAAAAGAAAGCCATAGCTTTCTATAAATATGTCATTGTGTTTTGATTCAATAACTAGACTTTCAATCAGGAATAAATTACAAGACAATTAAGATAAACTTTAAACTGAGGGTAAAACAACTCAAATGCTATTGATTTCATTTTATGTTTTAGCTGTAGGGTACAAGCTTGTAATACATTTCATTCTTCTGACTTTTGTGGTTTCTAACAGAAGGTCTGTGACAAATAATGCTAATGACTCTTTACCTATGATTGACTGACTTAAAACAAAAGTATCCCTGCTATAACTTGGGTAACAATATTGTAGCCTGTCACATATTATTTTTTAGTCCTAAAATCCCAGGAATGATCATAGCCTTATATTTATAGTACAAATATATGGCCACTGTTTTAGAAACTATATTAATAATGTATTACTTTAAAATATGGAGAGGAGTTTATGAAAATTAACACGATAATATCATTAACAGCATTTTTTCTTTCAGAAATTTTAGGCATCTTATATAAATATATGGTTGAAAAAATTATATTTTCAATGAAACAAAAATGTATTCCAGTGGACTCATAGCATAAAATTGTCTGTCCAAGAAAAAATTGCATTGTGCACAATAGGTTTCCTTGGAAATGTGATTTGAAACATGGTATACACTATTATTAATACATTTCTGAAACCAAATGCATTGAGGCAGTGCTCTTCCATTGATCCCAAATTGGTTTGCTGAACTGATGACAATGATATATAATCAGACTTTTCAAAATAGAAAAATATTACATTTCTGCATATATGAGAAAAAATATATATTTCATGACGGAAACATATTGCTGCCATGGGCAAGCAAAATTAAAATATTTAAGAATCTAGGAATGCATAAAATAGTTCTCCTTCTTATACCTAAGAATAAGCCTGGAACTAAAGAGAGAAGATACAGTTTTCTTCATTCTTGGAAACGTACTTATAATTAATATAGTAAATAATTTAGATTTTTTTTCTAAGCCTTTTTAGTCCAAATTTAAATTGGGATTCAAAATGCCATTCATTGAATGCCAAATATTTTGGCAAACTTATGCTTTCCAGAGAGTATTAATTACTGATTAATAATGAGGCCCCAAAGTGATACAACAGTCACTCTAAACCTCTTGCTTTAGAAAAACTCCTATTTCAGTAGAGGCACACTAAGCCCTATTAAATGCAAATGAAACTATGCACAGAAGAACTGGAATCTATTAAGTCACTTATGTTACAGAAATAACAACCTTTGCAGAAATAGAAAACAGATGCAACTACATGAATAACATAAGCATAAAATGTAGTTTAACATTGATAGATATGAGGGAAATTATCAGAATTAATTCTTCATTATTGATTATGGTTGTAGGCATTGGCTATCCCCATTCTGTTGTAATATAATCAAGGTCAGGTCTGCACTTAAAGTAATAACTTGCTAAAGATTTAGCATAGTTATTAGATTGGTTTTTATTTATTTTTATCACTTATGGATAATGCAATTTTTTCTGTTAGTAAAATATTTATTTTCCCAACTTTAACAAGTAGCTGATCTTACTGGTTGACTATCGAAAGAAGAAAAAAAAAGCTTCTCATTAAATAGACGAAAATAAATTCAGCATTATGCTTACATAATAAAAAGAAATATGGGGAAAAGTGCCATATAGAAAAGATGTACATAGGAGTGAACATTCAGAAGGTTTCATTGTCTCAACTTCACCAGTCTCTGAAGTTCTACTGGGCATATCCTATGTAACTGCTTTTCTGAATTTCTATATTCATTGCATTCTTTTCACTTAACCTCAAGGAATGTCTATACCTAAATGTCTTTGCTTGCACAAGTCTCTCTTTTTAAAATGTCCTTTCTACATTGTTTTTCAGATCAACTCAATTATTCTACAAGGGTCAGTTTAAAGGTCATCTCATTTTTGAGACTTTGCTTAATCATTCATTGTCCCTGTCATACAAGAACAAATACATCTGGCCTGTGAGTTCTCCTCAAATAAAAAGATGTAGTATTATTCAATTTTATTTTGTCCCAGATTTTATCACAGGTGCTGTGTGGATGATAGCAGAGAAGATAAAAATGTGAGATAGATCCCAAAGAAGAGAATAGTATAGATAACACTATGAAGATGAAAGATGTATTTCAGAAAATAGTAAATACTCCTTTTCCTGCACAATACAGAATTTGTCTAGTAAATTATGTTTGATGCCATGTTCTAATGCTTTCAAAGAAACGCTGTTATAATATCTATTGTTGTACTACTCCACCTTTTTGATATTTATCGTTTATATAAAAGATCACATTATAATTAACCATATATTTTCATGATTGATTTTGTCCAAAATGGATCTGATTTTGACCTGGACTAATTAATAACAGTATAATTTTATAATTCTTCACAGTGAATTGTGAATTGTATCAGATTTGCAAGAACATTTGATGAGTTAAACATATAAAGTGGTAATAAAATAATAGATACATGGGCAAACAATGGAATTTAGTGTATTCCAAGGTAAAAGGTAAAAGTGGTAAAGAATGACTGGGACAATGCTCCTTTGATTTTGAAATTAGATATTACTTATTATCTTTGACAACATTACATGGATTGGTAAAGGTTTTGTGGGTCCCCTTGTAATTCTTCTTACTCTTTGACTAATGTTAACATTCACACACACACACACACACACACTTGCATTTACATATAAACAAAACTTCCAAACAGACTAGTACTTTTTAAGTTATTATTTCACTTTCAACAACTCTGTTCCCTTTATTTTTGAGGCACATCTAATATGATTCTGTTTTTTTGTCACATGGCCCCTGAAACATTATTTTTGTGCTACAGAGATAATGAAAAGTATGTTAAATTAACAAATATATATCACATATTTGTTCTAAGTGCTGTAAGGGGATACGTATCCACAAGGTGAGATTAGCGCTTTAAAGAAGTTTCTATCCTGGTGGAGAAGCTATAACATAGGTATAAACAATAAGTAGTAGCATGAAGTACATGACTAATTGATATACAAGAGACATAGACATGCATGATTTGAAATTAGAGTAGCTTTGTCAGTGAAAAACCTCGAACTCTGCAAAACATTTGAAGCAATTTATTCTGAGCCAAATATGAGTGACCATGGCCCTTGACACAGCCCTCAGATCCTAGAACATGTGCCCAAGGTGGTTGAGGTGCAGCTTGGTTGTATAAATTTAAAATTCTTCTAATTGGCAATTGGTTGAAAGTGGCTTCAGAAGACAGTGAATTGCCCTAGTGGTAAACAAAAGTTAGTGAAGAGAAAAAGGAAGTAGATAAGTAAAAGAATCATAAAATAGTGTTTCTCATAAAGCAACTGTTTGAACTACCTGGTGATAATTACCTGAGATACTCGTTTAATAATACATATTTTTGTGATCTCTTTTCCAAACCTACTTAATTAAGATATCTGGAAATGGAAAATGGAAATCTGAATATTTACTGTTTTTATTGTTGTTGTTGTTTCTTCACAACTATTTGAAATACTGATAGGAAGATTAACTGCTTGCAGTTTTTTGTTTTGTTTTGTTTCTTAAAGCAGGGAATTAACATGAGAAAGTTAGCTCAGTATGTAGAATAGCTTGGAGAGAGATAGAATGAATGCTAAAAAGAATTGGATAAATAGGCCAGTCCCAAACTAGAACTAGGATTGGGCCAGTGAGAGGAGGAAAATATAGGACAACTGCAAAAGAGAAGTTGGTAGGACTTGATGACTGGTTATAAAGAGAAAGGAAGAAATCAAGGATGATTTTATACTTTTGATCTTGGGTGACATGAATAAGATCTAAATAAAAACTTGCAGGAAACAAGGAACTGGACTTCCAAAGGTGTTCAAGACTGACAGGTAGGTTTTGAAAAAAAATCATATAGCATGAGTACTTAAGTCAAGGAATTGTTATGCCAAGCGTCGCTAGTCTCACGTGGTACAAATGTAAAATAATGAGGCTTAAGTGAGAAAACCAGGCAAAGAAAGCATCAAAGGAAAAAGTATCTCTTGACCTCCCATAAGCACAAAGAAAAAAACTTAATTTGCACACATCTGAACACACCATAGAAAGGGCTCAAGACTAGAAACCAGGGACTGGAAACACTATTACTCTACAAATATAAAGGAAATATGGAAATAAAGGCAAACAAAAATCCACTGGCAGTGTAATGATAGGAGATTCCCTGTCGAGGCAATGATCTCTTTAAGAGGAGATGAGCTAGTGAAGCTTGTATCAGGGAGAAATGCTGTTTAGATCCATTCTGCTAACTCAGATCCAACTGTGTCTGGAATTGGTGGGTTCTTGGTCTCACTGACTTCAAGAATGAAGCCGCGGACCCTCGCGGTGAGTGTTAGGGTTCTAAAAGATGGTGCGTCTGGAGTTCTTTCCTTCTGATGTTCGGGCGTGTTCGGAGTTTCTTCCTTCTGGTGGGTTCGTGGTCCCGCTGGCTTCAGGAGTGAAACTGCAGACCTTCGCGGTAAGCGTTACAGCTCTTAAGGTGGCATGTCTGGGGTTATTCGTTCCTCCCATCAGGAGTTGTTCATTCTACCCAGTGGGTTCGTGGTCTCGCTGGCCTCAGGAGTGAAGCTGCAGACCTTCGCGGTGAGTGTTACAGTTCATAAAGGCAGCGTGGAACCAAAGAGTGAGCAGCAGCAAGATTTATTCCAAAGAGTGAAAGAATGAAGCTTCCACAGTGTGGAAGAGGACCCCAGCTGGTTGCCACAGCTAGCTGGGGCAGTCTGCTTTTATTCCCTCATGTGGCCCCACCCACATCCTGCTGATTGGTACATTTTACAGAGAGCTGATTGGTCTGTTTTACAGAGAGCTGATTGGTCTGTTTTGACAGGGTGCTGATTGGTGCGTTTACAATCCCTGAGCTAGACGCAAAAGTTCTCCAAAACCCCAGAGCACTGATTGGTGCATTTACAAACCTTGAGCTAGACACAGGGTACTGATTGATGTGTTTACAAACCTTGAGCTAGACACAGAGTGCTGATTTGGTGTATTTACAGTCCCTTAGCTAGACATAAAGGTTCTCCAAGTCCCCACCAGATTAGGTAGATACAGAGTGTTGATTGGTGCATTTACAAACCTTGAGCTAGATACAGAGTGCTGATTAGTGTATTTACAATCCCTTAGCTAAACGTAAAGGTTCTCCAAGTCCCCACTAGACTCAGGAGCCCAGCTGGCTTCACCTAGTGGATCCTGCACTGGGGCCGCAGGCGGAGCTGCCCGCCAGTCCGGCGCTGTGCACCCGCACTCCTCAGCCCTTGGGCGGTTGATGGGACCAGGTGCCACAGAGCAGGGGGTGGTGCTCGTTGGGGAGGCTCAGGCTGCACAGGAGCCCACGGCGGGGGGACACTCCAGCATGGCGGGCTGCAGGTCCCAAGCCTTGCCCCGCAGGGAGGCAGCTGAGGCCCAGTGAGAATTTGAGTGCAGCACTGGCAGGCCTGCACTGCTGGGGGACCCGGTGCACCCTCCGCAGCTGCTGGCCTGGGTGCTAAGCCCCTCACTGCCTGGGGCCCACGGTGCCAGCCGGCCGCTCTGAGTGCGGAGTCCACCAAGCCCATGCCCACCGGAACTCACGCTGGCTCGCGAGCGCCACATGCAGCCCCGGTTCCCGCCTGCGCCTCTCCCTCCACACCTCCCCGCAAGCAGAGGGAGCTGGCTCCGGCCTTGGCCAGCCCAGAGAGGGGCTCCCACAGTGCAGCCGCGGGCTGAAGGGCTCCTCAAGCGCGGCCAGAGTGGGCGCCAAGGCTGAGGAGGTGCTGAGATCAAGCGAGGGCTGCGAGGGCTGCCAGCAGGCTGTAACCTCTCACAATGACCAAATTAAGCTGTCAAAAGAAAAAAAAATTATTGTCCCTTGAGGCCCCATCTCATTTGTCTTTCTGAGGCTGTCAAGAGAGAAAAATGAAAGACTGAGTTTGAGAAAAACTCTTCCATTTAGTGAATGAGAGGAAAAGAATAGCCATTTAAGAGACCAGTGGAAAAAATGAGTACAATTTATGTAGTGATGACCTGTTAGCCAAAGGAGAAGAGGGTTTCAAGAAAAGTCAAAAATGGCTGAAACATCAAATGTTGCAGATACTCCAGAAAAATTATGACTAAAGAAAGTATGTTGGATAATAGTTAACTTGGGCCAACAATAACTATAGCTAGTGCCAAATAAATAATAAAGGGCTTGTATGTGGAAGAAAACATGGGAATTAAGTAGGTAGAAGATTTCTTGGTTTTATCTTCACAATTTAAAATTTAATTTATTCTTAAATATTCCCTAATTTTGTTAATGTTTACATTTTATAAGGCATGCATTTCAATTTAATGTACACATTGCTTCAATGCAAAAGCAAAAACAGAATTTTATGATTCAGAGATAAGAAACATAAATTTAGCTTGTCATTCTTTTTAATCATTATTCAGAACACAAGTCTCGTAGTCAGTTCTTCCCAATCTAATTCATTTTTTATTCCCAGGAACTTTCGTAAGTTCAATTAATCAATCTTGTTCCTGTTCTTATCCCTTTTGGTATCTTGTACCTAATTAGTCCCCTATGTAATATCTTAAAAATAATTACAGACAAGCAGTTTAGAGGAAATCATTATTTTAAAAGCTGTCACTTTCAATTTTGAAAGCCTGTTACTAGTTATTTACTTACAGCATATGCTTGCCATCAAGACTGTTTAATAGAGATTGCTATATTTGTGTTTTGTTTTGTTTTGTTTTGTTTTTTTGAGACGGAGTCTTGCTCTGTCACCCAGGCTAGAGTGCAGTGGCACGATCTTGGCTCACTGCAAACTCCACCTCCCACGTTCACACCATTCTCCTGCCTCAGCCTCCTGAGTAGCTGGGACTACAGGTGCCCGCCACCATGCCCGGCTTATTTTTTGTATTTTTAGTAGAGATGGGGTTCCACCGTGTTAGCCAGGATGGTCTCGATCTCCCGACCTCGTGATCCACCCACCCCCAGCCTCCCAAAGTGCTGGGATTACAGGCACGAGCCACCACACCTGACCTATATTTGTGTTTTATTAAAATACACAAGAAAGTTGGATACTTTAACCAGTTTAGTGGTTCAGTTTTGCTTCTAAATGATCCCTATTTGATGATATTTCATAAATGCTCAGATATGCCTGAGTTTAAAGGACAAACAGTAAAGGAGAAATTTTATCAAAAATCTATACTAGGGAAAATTCTATGTAACACAGATTATTAAACCATTAAGTTGTTCCCATTTAAAATTACCTTAATAGAAAAGCAGAGAAAAAGTAGATACATAAAAATTGTATATATGAAATTACTTAAGATCCATGATTTTGGTATCAGACAGGCCTGAATTCCATACCCAGTTCTGATCTTTACAAACTTCTCTAACCTTTATAATCTTCAACTTTCTCTTAGGGTAAATATGTCTACACCTCATAAGGGTATTTGAGAATTTTAAGGACTATCATATCAGAAAAGTACTTAACTTATTGTAACATAAGAAATACTCTATAAAAAGGTATTTTTTATTACTACTGCTAGCTGTGATATGTTCGAACCACACAAAATTATAATAAGCACATACTAAATATGCTTCATCTACTCCTTTAGATAAGTGTACAGAGAGATATCTCATATTTTCCTCTGAATTCTCTGTATTACCAGGGATTGTAGGTTGTGACATGTTAGAAAAGCAGCCAGGCATCTTCTGAGGGCTTTAGATTTGAATACACCTACCTTGATTGACAACCGGATAATGTATATACATAAACAAAGACAACTTTCTTCAAAAAAAAATTAAAATGATGTAAAATCCATGATTATAAAAAAGAAAATATACTAAAATTTAATACTTGATTAAATTTTGCAACACAAAATGAAAAATCTACATTTCATAATGTCTTTTGGGAGGAAAAAATCCAGTATCTTTTCCATAAATAGGGAGGTATGGTGTCCATTCTCTGCTATGAACTAAATTGGTCATTCCAAACTATTTTTGGCATGGTTAGTAAGTTGGAAACAGCAGAAACCACTTCTGACTGGCTTATACTAAAGGAATCATATCAGAAGAATACTTGGTGGCTTGTACAGCAAGAGAGAAATTGAATAGGGTCTAAGGAAAAACAAAAACATGGAGAGGCTTCAGCAATCTTAGAAACTCAAGTAGCAATTCCTTTTTGGGCAGTGCCATTAAGAAAGCTGAGGTCAATGACCTTCAAGCAACTGGCAGTCAGTTCAAGGATCACACATCTGAAGGTGAGAGAATCTGATTGGCCTGGCTTGAGCTGTGTATCCTTGGCCAGGGGTGAAGTGAAGAGTACAATAGTTGGCATTTCTATTAAGGACTCATGGAATGTGGAGGTAATAGTAAACCAAGGAGGGAAAATGGACTTCTGAGGCCAAAATAAAGGAGGAAGTGATACTGTTTAGGCAAATAAAAAAAAAGTCATATTAGGGCTGAAATGTGGTTGAATGAAGTGCTTGGTAAGGTTGGTGTAGAGGGGTGGCATATTACTTGAAACTTACAGTGCTAAATTTTTACTTTATGTCATAATGGAATTTTAATTTCCATTTATACTGTGACTAGTGCTCAAAAATGTAAGTAGCTGATTACCTCAACTTTTGAAGGTTTATCAATTTGTGTTGCTTCAAAAACTATTTTCTCCTCTCAGAAGTTTGGGAGAAGATTAAAGATAATGCTTGGACTTAATGACATATTGCAAGAACTGTGAACCCCTATTTTACAAGTATTAATTAAGCACTTTCCAAAAGCTCAATTTAAAATGTTCATTACACTAAGTAGTTGTAGTTAAATTGCTTCCACTTATATTACTTCTAAAATTTGTGCAAAAAATGAATTATTTAATATGTTGTATACCATATGACTAATGAACACAGCAAAGATATATAGATAAATAATAATTAGACTGTGTTTTTCAAGGCCACTTCTCTCTTTATTCATTGCTTCTTGGTTGAATCTTCACGAGTAAATCCAATATACCTAGGGAAATATTTCGCAAACAAGCAGGAAAATTCTTATTTTATTTCAGGAGGAAAAAAAATGTATGCTTTACTAGCGTAAGCCAGGGCTTGTTGATGGAGGAAAAGAAAATGAAGATTTGCACATAGTATCTCCACAGGTTCTTTAGATGAAAGAGATATTTTAGAAAAGGCATAGAAAGGAACAGATAAAGTTCAAGAGTTTCGTGTACGTATGCTTTATGACTTCTGTTTCCGCTCTACTTCTAGTCTTCCATCATAACATTAACATTAACTATTTTAAATTAGAAAAGCAGTACTTATCATTATATACAATAAAAATAAAATACGAAAAGAAGAAAATTAAAATAATCTATCATCCCGTGATTTTGATTTTTTTAAATTATATATCTTTTTCAATTATATTGTAATATCCTAATATATACTTATATAGTATCTATACATACACTTATATGCACTTTTACATAATTTATCCACTATTTTTATTAAAAGATGCAAATGTTTTGAAAATAGAATATATGCCATAACACTTTTCACTTTTTATAGACAATTCTAATGTTTTATAGGTGTATGGTGATTATAAACATATACCTGTTTATGATGACATTTAATCATCACAGTAATCTTATTGTTTGTCTACAGTTTATACATGAGAAAGCAGGCCCTTGTATTCAACCGCCTTGTGCAAGATGAAAAAGTCCTCAACTTTATAGAAATGGGATTTCTCATCTTGTATCCATACTGTTTTTACTTTGCCTCAAGCTGTTATGAGGTGAGCGAAAGAGATATTTTCAAATGAAGGCATATAGAAATACTTCCACTGGGAGGCTTTAATTCCAACCAGATTATCTACATATTCCTTAAATTATTTTCCTGATGCAGTTTAGAAGTAGGTTTGCTTTCCCTGTCCCCATTCTAGCAATCTATATTCTTGGCTTCCTGGGTATTTATAAAAACTTAGAAAGTTTTAGAAATTTCCCAGTGAAATGTTCATTTTTCTTGTGGTCCTAGGCATAGAAGTATATACCTAAATACCTAATACCTAAATACAAATAAATTATTTTTTTCACTATAGAAATAAACCGCCTTGCTCCCCACTCCCCATAAATCACAAATCCAAGGATTACTTCAGGTTTTTAAAAAATGACTCAAATTTAAGGCCATAAAGTGAAATAGTTACATCTATATGTTGTTACGGGTTCAGTCTGAATCTTATTTATGCCTTCTCCTAGTTGAGTAATTTTAGACATGTTATTTAATCCCTCCAAGCCTCATTATCTTCATTGATAAAATGTGGACAATCAATAATATGTACAATGTTATTACAGGAGTAAATTGAAATAATGCACAGAAAACACTTGGTCCAGAAACTTCTCAGTGATTAGTATTACCATTAAAGCTTTCTGTCAGTGATGTTGTTTGCACATAAAAAGAGCTTGAGAGCTCCCATATTTGTATTAAAACAGAATTTTGTTTTTCCTAAATTTGTCATTTGGGAACATCCTAACACATTTCTGTTTTTAAATGTAGTAGATCCTTCGAATTTTACATTGAAAAGAACACAATAATATGCCTCTTGTAGGCAGAATGATGCCCCCTTCTCTTGAGACATCTATGCCCTAATCTCTGAAATTTGGGAAGATATTAATTTACATAAGATAAGGGACTTCCCAGATGTAATTGGATTAAGGATTTAATATAGGGTGATTATTCTGGACTATCTGGGTGGACTCAATGCAATTACAAGAATCCTTATAAGTGAAAGAAGGCAGGACAGTCAGTGTCAGACTGATGCAACAGAAGAATCCACTGGCCATTGCTAGATTCGACTGATGAAAGGACACTAAGCTTAAGGAATGCAAGCAGGCAGCTTCTAGAAGCTAGAAAAGACAAGGAAACAGATACAGCCCTAGAGGCTCTAGAAAGAAATGCAGACCTGCTACGTCTTAATTTTAGCCCAGTGAGACCCATTTGGACCTACAAACTATACAGTAATACACTGGTGTTGTTTTAAACCACTAATTTTGCCGTAATCTATTACAGAAGCAATAGGAAGCTATGGTGGTATCCGTGTGTGTGTGTGTGTGTGTGTGTGTGTGTGTGTGTGTGTGTGTGTGTGTGTTTGTGTATTTGCATTAAAGGACAGAGGCGCCTATTTGAGCAGCATTAAATAATTTAGCACATTGTTTGAAAGGCATTTTTTTCTCTTCCTTCAACAATACCATAGACATTTATAAATCCTTTAATTCATTTGTAATAACTCTTCAGTTGATATCCAAATATAGAAGGGGCAACTGTACTTGTCTGTCTTTTGAAATAGACGTATCGTTTTATTCAATAATTCTTTATTCAGTACTACTATTTGATTGCCTGTATTCTAGAAGCTGAGCAAAAGTGTCTAATGGAATTTACCTTTGCTGTTATTACAAATCTTGTTTTAACTAGGGAGAGAAACCTGGGCATGAATTTAACCATGCCTGGGAATGAAGTCTGGCTCTTCTGTATAATAGTTGACTAGTTCTTTAATCTCCTTGAGTCTCAGTTTCTTTATCTACAAAGCAGAATGAAAATACCTATTTCATGGATTTGTTGCAAGGTTTTTAAAGAAATATTGGAAGTAAAATGTCTAATGTAGAGAAACTCTTCAAGAAAGAGTAACGCACCTTCCATTCCTCCCATTAAATATGGAAAACCATATTTGGTTTGTGTATTAGGCCATTCTTGCATTGCTACAAAGGAATGCCTGAGGCTGGGTAATTTATAAAGAAAATATATTTTATCTTGGTTCATGGTTCTACAGGCTGTACAGGAAGTGTGGTGCTGGCATCTGCTCTTGATGAGGGCCTCAGGAAGCTTCCAATCATGGTGGAAA
Organism: Homo sapiens; assembly: GCF_000001405.40. NCBI lineage: Eukaryota > Metazoa > Chordata > Mammalia > Primates > Hominidae > Homo > Homo sapiens. Next base: position 53,917,963 of record NC_000010.11, on the reverse strand, counting down.
GTGAAGGGAGAGCCAGTGCGTTATATGGCCAGAGCAGGAGCAAGAGGGAGGGGGAGGTGCCACACACTTTTCAATATCTAGATCTCTTGAGAACTCAGAGTGAGAAATCTCTCATCACCAAGGAGATGGTGCTAAGCCATTCACGAGGGGTCCACCCCCATGATCCAAGCACCTCCCACCAGGCCCCACCTCCAATACTAGGGATTACATTTCAACATGAGATGCAGGGGAGTCAAACATCCAAACCGTATCAGTGTGTTCATTTCTTTTTGATGGATTCTTCTCTTATCTTTTAGAAACAGCTCCTTTATAGTCTCAAGAAAAAAAAGAACATAGTGTTAATATCTGTTGTGTGTGTGTCTGTGTTTAGGTGCATATATGAAAGTTCAAAACTGCCCATGTGACAATAACTACAGCCCATGTATCTTTTCAAGTGCTTAGCAAATTGCATTTCCACAACACAATCTTTTTGCATCTTTGATTGTTTTTCTGTTAGCTTGTTTATTTATTTTAGTAAATTTATTCATCTTTTTTTATTTAAACAAAGCATTAGTTTTGGGGCATAAATATGCTTTTATTTTTAATTATATGTCAAAGAATTCAGAGGTCATTTAATGGTCTATTCAGACATAATAATTTTGTCTTCCTCAGCTATGATCCTGCAATTCAGTGTACAATAATTCCTATTCGGCTTGTATTATCAGTGGAATAGTCTTAGGTCAAATATTATATACTGTCTGATTTTCTTGAACTCTCAGCTTTTGAAATAAATTTTCTATAAATTTGTGGTCTTGTGTAAACAAAAGTATGCATATTTAATAGGACACAGTACTTTTCATATGTTTTCCAATAGTTATTTCATTATGATTTCATAAAATTATTTTACTTGCACTAAAAATATGTATTTTCCACTACATTATTTGATGTGTACTATATTCCTATATATCTCATATAAAAACCATTTTCTTTTAAAATTTAGTGCTAGGAAATTTTGTTTCAATTTCATGCTATTGGTATTTTTTTTTCCTTCTGGTATTAGTAATAATGTTACTAATATTTTCTCCCTCCTGCCTTGAGAGCCAGGAATCTCTGAGGCATATATGAAATAGTAAAGCTACCATGTATTTAATGCCTTACATATATTTGCTCATTTAATCTGGTTATTTATGTAAAATTACTATCATGTTATGAATAAGAAACTTTACCTCAGAGAGAGTAAGTAACCTGTATAAGGTCACACAGCATACATGTGGTATTATCAGGTTAGACCCAGGCTCTGCTTCCAAAGTTTATGCTTAAAGTTTTATTGCCCAGATTACAACTACTACAGTTTTGTTGATCATTATAGTCCTGTAATATCATAATAGCTGCTTTTTGTAGAGAGCTAGTGTTTAATAAATAAAAATGATTTAAAATAGTGTCTTTTTTTCTCACAGAAACTGAGCTAAAAGTCACAGTCATTTGGTTGCAGAGGCTTTTAAATGTATCCGTTTGAACTCAGGAATAACAAAATGTTGGCAGTACCAATGAAAACAAACAATTTTGCATCCTTAACTCCTATTTTGGTGATTACAATTTGCAGATAAATTTAGTCATAAAATCTTTCCAGGAGGAAAAAAATGTTAAAATGGATTCAAAACCAAAATTTAAGTAATACTTAGAATATTACTGTTTTTTCCTGATTATTTCCTCATGACTATACAGTTGGCATTCTGTATCCATGGGTTCTGCATTCGTGAATCCAGACAACCAGAGATGGAAAATATTCAGAAAAGAAATGGATGGTTGTGTCTACAATGAACATGCACAGAATTTTTTGCCATTATTCCTTAAACAATATAGTATGCAACTATTTATGTAGCATTTACATTGTATTAGGTATTATAAGTTATCTGGAGATGATTGATATGGGAAGATGTGTATATGTTATATGCAAATACTATGGCCATTTTCTATCAGGGACTTCAGTATATGTGGATTCTGGTATCAGAAGGGGGTCCTGGGACCAATCCCCCACAGATACTGAGGAATGACAAAGTGTCAGTGTTGTCATTTTCTTCATGAAAAGACTTAGCCAAAATCAAGTATTATATATTATACAAATACGGGCCGGGCACAGTGGCTCACACCTGTAATCCCAGCACTTTGGGAGGCTGAAGCGACAGATCACAAGGTCAGGAGTTTGAGACCAGCCTGGACAACACAGTGAAACCCCGTCTCTACTAAAAATACAAAAATTAGCCAGGCATGGTGGCGGGCACCTATAATCCTAGCTACTCGGGAGGCTGAGGCAGGAGAATTGCTTGAACTCGGGAGGTGGAGGTTACAGTGAGCCAAGATCGTGCCACTGCACTCCAGCCTGGATGACAGAGCGAGACTGTCTCAAAAAAAAGGAAATATGAATGTCACATTTTGGAGCCAGTAGTGACAGCAGTTATTTACTCAATTCAGTTATTAACCTATCAGCCAAACACATACACAAAATATTTCTTCTAGATACAAGCAATTAATATTATGCAAAGGCTAATTAATTAAATGTCCAAGCTAAATTTGAAAACTATTGAAATGAACCACAAAAGATCAATCTATCTTTCTGCCTAGCCACTGAAAATGAATAGTATATAAAAATATAGCTAAATATAATCTCTGCAGAGCAAAAGCTGAGAAGAACCAGTGAGCTTCTCATGCTAATACAGTTAATAATTTATTTTCTAAATGTTTTGTAAGTATATTTTGTTCCTGTTAATTCTGTCTAGTGGGCACACTATAACATATTTCTCTCTTTTCTCTCAAATTCTACTTTATATTTTTAGTGAATAACTTAAAAATACACAAATTAAGATAAATTATTCTATTTGTAGTAAAAATATGTATTTCCACCTGTATATTCAAAAATATGTATCTATAAACCCCTTAGTAAGAACAGCTTAAGCATTTATCTCAGATGATCATTTTGTTTTAAACATTAATTTGCCTATAGAACCAGATATTATCCAGAATACAAACTGGAACAGGGGAACATAAAGACAATTAATAATGATATAAAAACCAGAATCTTCAAGATGTTTTCAAATAGCCCATCAAATTCCAAAATGGTTTCAGAGTCAATATTTTCCTAAAGTTAAACTTTTTAGAGAAATCTGTTGTTTGTAATAGATTGCTTTTAATTGAAACAACATGCAGTTGTTTTTATTTTTTTTTATATACTTTAAGTTCTAGGGTACATGTGCACAATGTGCATGTTTGTTACATAGGTATACATGTGCCATGTTGGTTTGCTGCACCCATTAACTCGACATTTACATTAGGTATTTCTCCTAATGCTATCCCTCCGCCAGCCCCCAACTCCACAACAGGCCCTGGTGTGTGATGTTCCCTCCCCTGTGTCCAAGTGTTCTCATTGTTCAATTCCCACCTATGAGTGAGAACATGTGGTGTTTGGATTTCTGTCCCTGCAATAGTTTGCTAAGAATGATGGTTTCCAACTTCATCCATGTCCCTCCAAAGGACATGAACTCATCATTTTTTATGGCTGCATAGTATTCCATGGTGTATATGTGCCACATTTTCTTAATCCAGTCTATCATTGATGGACATTTGGGTGGGTTTGAAGTCTTTGCTATTGTGAATAGTGCCACAATAAACATACGTGTGCATGTGTCTTTATAGTAGCATGCTTTATCATCCTTTGGGTATATATCCAGTGATGGGATTGCTGGGTCAAATGGTATTTCTAGCTCTAGATCCTTGAGGAATCACCACACTGTCTTCCACAATGGTTAAACTAGTTTAAACTCCCACCAACAGTGTAAAAGCATTCCTATTTCTCCACATCCTCTCCAGCATCTGTTGTTTCCTGACTTTTTAATGATTGCCATTCTAACTGGTGTGAGATGGTATCTTATTGTGGTTTTGATTTGCATTTCTCTGATGACCAGTGATGATGGGCCTTTTTTCATGTGTCTGTTGGCTGCATAAATGTCTTCTTTTGAAAAGTGTCTGTTCATATCCTTTGCCCACTTTTTGACGGTGTTGTTTGATTTTTTCTGGTAAGTTTGTTTAAGTTCTTTGTAGATTCTGGATGTTAGCCCTTTGTCAGATAGGTAGATTGCAAAAATTTTCTCCCATTCTGTAGGTTGCCTGTTCACTCTGATGGTAGCTTATTTTGCTGTGCAGAAGCTCTTTGTTTTTTTTTGTTTTTTGTTTTTTGGTTTTTTTTTGAGACAGAGTCTCGCTCTGTCATCCAGGCTGGAGTGCAGTGGCGCCATCTTGGCTCACTGCAAGCTCTGCCTCCCGGGTTCACGCCATTCTCCTGCCTCAGCCTCCCGAGTAGCTGGGAATACAGACGCCCACCACAATGCCCAGCTAATTTTTTTTTTTTTTTTGTATCTTTTAGTGGAGACGGGATTTCACCATGTTAGCCAGGTTGGTCTCAATCTCCTGACCTCGTGATTCGCCTGCCTCAGCCTCCCAAAGTGCTGGGATTACAGGTGTGAGCCACCGCGCCCGGCTAGAAGCTCTTTATTTTAACTAGATCTCATTTGTCTATTTTGGTTTTCGGTGCCATTGCTTTTGGTGTTTTAGTCATGCCTAAGTCCTCAGTGGTATTGCCTAGGTTTTCTTCTAGGTTTTTATGGTTTTAGATCTAACATTTAAGTCTTTAATCCATCTTGAATTAATTTTTGTATAAGATATAAGGAAGGGATCCAGTTTCAGCTTTCTACATATGGCTAGCCACTTTTCCCAGCACCATTCATTAAATAGGGAATCCTTTCCCCATTTCTTGTTTCTGTCAGTTTGTCAAAGATAAGATGGTTGTAGATGTGTGGTGTTATTTCTGAAGGCTCTGCTCTGTTCCATTGGTCTATATCTCTGTTTTGGTACCAGTACCATGCTGTTTTGGTTACTGTAGCCTTGTAGTATAGCTTGAAGTCAGGTAGCATGATGCCTCCAGCTTTGTTCTTTTTGCTTAGGATTGTCTGGGATATGTGGGCTCTTTTTTTGTTCCATATGAACTTTAAAGTAGTTTTTCCCAGTTCTGTGAAGAAAGTCATTGGCCGATTGATGGGGATGGCATTGAATCTATAAGTTACCTTGGGCAGTATGGCCATTTTCACAATATTGATTCTTCCTATCCATGAGCATGGAATGTTCTTCCATTTGTTGGTGTCCTCTTTTATTTTGCTGAGCAGTGGTTTGTAGTTCTCCTTGAAGAGGTCCTTCGCATCCCTTGTAAGTTGGATTCCTAGGTATTTTATTCTCTTTGAAGCAACTGTGAATGGAAGTTCACTCATGATTTGGGTCTTTGTCTGTTATTGGTGTATAGGAATGCTTGTGATTTTTGCACATTGATTTTGTATCCTGAGACTTTGCTGAAGTTGCTTATCAGCTTGAAGGAGATTTTGGGCCGAGACAATGGGGTTTTCTAAATATACAATCATGTCATCTGCAAACAGGGACAATTTGACTTCCTCTTTTGCTAACTGAATACCCTTTATTTCTTTCTCTTGCCTGATTGCCCTGGCCAGAACTTCCAACACTATGTTGAATAGGAGTGTTAAGAGAGGGCATCCCTATCTTGTGCCAGTTTTCAAAGGGAATGCTTCCAGTTTTTGCCCATTCAGTACGATACTGGCTGTGGATTTGTCAGAAATACCTCTTATTTTGAGAAATGTTCCATCAATACCTAGTTTATTGAGAGTTTTTAGCATGAAGGGCTGTTGAATTTTGTCAAAGGCCTTTTCTGCATTTATTGAGATAATCATGTGGTTTTTGTTGTTGTTTCTCTTTATGTGATGGATTACGTTTATTGATTTGTGTATGTTGAACCAGCCTTGGATCCCAGGGATGAAGCTGACTTGATCGTGGTGGATAAGCTTTTTGATGTGCTGCTGGATTCAGTTTGCGGGTATTTTATTGAAGATTTTCACATCGATGTTCATCAGGGATATTGGTCTAAAATTCTCTTTTTTTGTTGTGTCTCTGCCAGGCTTTGGTATCAGGATGATGCTGGCCCCATAAAATGAGTTAGGGAGGATTCCCTCTTTTTCTATTGATTGGAATATTTTCAGAAGGAATGGTACCAGCTCCTCTTTGTACCTCTATTAGAATTTGGCTGTGAATCTGTCTGGTCCCGGACTTTGTTTTTGGTTGGTAGGCTATTAATTATTGCCTCAATTTCAGAGCCTGTTATTGGTCTATTCAGAGATTCAACTTCTTCCTGGTTTAGTCTTGTGATGGTGCAAGACTTTATTGGTCTTGCTAGCAGTCTATCAATTTTGTTGATCTTTTCAAAAAACCAGCTCCTGGATTCATTGATTTTTTTGAAGGGTTCTTTGTGTTTCTATCTCCTTCAGTTCTGCTCTGATTTCTTGCCTTCTGCTAGCATTTGAATTTGTTTACTCTTGCTTCTCTAGTTTTTAATTGTGATGTTAGGGTGTCAATTTTAGATCTTTCCTGCTTTCTCTTGTGGGCATTTAGTGCTATAAATTTCCCTCTACACACTGCTTTAAATGTGTCCCAGAGATTCTGGTATGTTGTGTCTTTGTTCTCATTGGTTTCAAAGAACATCTTTATTTCTGCCTTCATTTTGTTATTTACCCAGTAGTCGTTCAGGAGCAGGTTGTTCAGTTTCCATGTAGTTATGCGGTTTTGAGTGAGTTTTTTAATCCTGAGTTATAATTTGATTGCACTGTGGTCTGAGAGACAGTTTCTTGTGATTTCTGTTCTTTTACATTTGCTGAGGGGTGCTTTACTTCCAACTATGTGGTCAATTTTGGAATAAGAGTATCTTTGTGGTGTTCTCTGTTTTTCCTGAATTTGTATGTTGGCCTGCCTTGCTAGGTTGAGGAAGTTCTCCTGGATGATATCCTGAAGAGTGTTTCTCAGCTTGGTTCCATTCTCCTCATCACTTTCAGGTACACCAATCAAACATAGATTTGGTCTTTTCACATAGTCCCATATTTCTTGGAGGCTTTGTTCATTTCTTTTTACTCTTTTTTTCTCTAAACTTCTCTTTTCACTTTGTTTCATTAACTTGATCTTCAATCTCTGGCACCCTTTTTTCCACTTGATGAAAATGGCTATTGAAGCTTGTTCATGTGTCATGTAGTTTCGTGCATGGTTTTCAGCTCCATCAGGTCATTTAAGGTCTTCTCTACACTGTTTATTCTAGTTAGCCATTCGTCTAATCTTTTTTTAAGGTTTTTAGCTTCCTTGTGATGGCTTCAAACATCCTTCTTTAGCTCGGACAAGTTTGTTATTACCAACCTTCTGAAGCCTACTTCTGTCAACTCATCAAAGTCATTCTCCATCCAGCTTTGTTTCATTGCTTGTGAGGAGCTGTGATCCTTTGGAGGAGAAGAGGTGCTCTGGTTTTTAGAATTTTCAGCTTTTCTGCTCTGGTTTCTTCCCATTTTTGTGGTTTTTATCTACCTTTGGTCTTTGATGATGGTGACGTACAGATGGGGTTTTGGTGTGGGTGTCCTTTTTGTTGATGATGATGCTATTCCTTTCTGTTTGTTAGTTTTCCTTCTAACAGTCAGGTCCCTTAGCTGCAAGTCTGTTGGAGTTTGCTGGAGCTCCACTCCAAACTGTTTGCCTGGGTGTTACCAGCGGAGGCTTCAGCACAGCAAATATTGCTGCCTGGTCCTTCTTCTGGATGCTTCATCCCAGAGAGCCACCCACCTGTATGCAGTGTCAGTCGGCCCCTACTGGGAGGTGCCTCCCAGTTAGGCTACACTGGGGTAGGGACCCACTTGAGGAGGCAGTCTGTCTGTTCTCAGAGCTCAAATACCGTGCTGGGAGAACCATTGCTCTCTTCAGAGCTGTCAGACCAGGACATTTAAGACTGCAGAAGTTTCTGCTGCCTTTTGTTCAGCTATGCCCTGCCCCCAGAGGTGGAGTCTACAGAGGCAGCAGACCTTGTTGAGCTGCGGTGGGCTCCTCCCAGTTTGGGCTTCCCCAGCCACTTTGTTTACCTACTCAAGCAGCAGCAATGGTGAACTCCTCTCCCCCTGCCAGGCTGCTGCCTCGCAGATTGATCTCAGACTGCTGCACTAGCAGTGAGCAAGGCTTCGTGGGCATGGGACTCACTGAGCCAGGTGTGGGTATAGTCTCCTTGTGTGCCATTTGCTAAGACCATTGGAAAAGCGCAGCATTTGGGTGGCACTGTCCCCATTTACCAGATACAATCTGTCATGACTTCCCTTGGCTAGGAAAGGGAAATCCCCCAACCCCTTTTGCTTCCTGGGTGATGTGATGTCCCACCGTGCTTTGGCTTGCCCTCTGTGGGCTGCACCCTCTGTCCAACCAGTCCCAGTGAGATGAATTAGGTACCTCAGTTGGAAATGCAGAAATCACCCGTCTTCTGCGCCAAGCACGCTGGGAGCTGCAGACTGGAGCTGTTCCTATTCAGCTGTCTTGGAATGGGGGTGTCTGTTATTTGATTTTTAAATGCTTAAAAATCTGTTACCTCATTTAATTTACAGGAATAAAATAGAGTAATTTATTTTATTTAAGAGGACCCTTGGGAGTAGTGAAGTGGTAGCAATTACAATTTAATTTAACATTTATTGAACACCTACAGTATTAGTCTGTTTTCACACTGGTATAAAGAAATAACCGAGACTGGGTAATTTATAAAGAGAAGAGATTTAATTGACTCACAGTTCCACATGGCTGGGGAGGCCTCAGGAAACTTGTAATCATGGTGGAAGGGGAAAGAGAAGCAAGTACCTTCTTCACAAGGCAGCAGGAAAGAGGGAGTGTAGGGGGAAGCACCCCTTATAAAACCATTGGATTTCGTGCAAACTCACTACATGAGAACACATTGGGGAAAACTGCCCCCATGATCTGATCACCTCCCACCAGGTTCTTCCGTCGATACGTGAGGATTATAGTTCAAGATGAGATTTGGGTGGGGACACAGAGCCAAACCATATCACCTACTATGTGGAAGTCACAATGCTTCCATAATTAATATACCCGTAAAGCTTAAACAAAAATTGTCTTAAAAGAAAAACAGCATAAAAAATTGTTTGTGTGTTTTTAAAGTGAGGAACTGACTTCAATCTCCTGATACCAACAAATTAACAAATATAAATCTGGTATTCCAAGCATTTAAAAAATTCTCTGCAATAGGACTGTTTGAAGAATCTATAAATCATTTATCATGATAACAATTTTAAAAATCATTTAATGTGTTAGGCAACGATACGTAACAATAAGAAAAGCACAGTCCTTTCCTTTAAGGTTTGAGGAAAATATAGTCTAGTGTATGTTTTTTAATCAGACTAAACTTCTACATTCCCAAGTACAGGAATAAATATTTCTGTGATGTATATTTACTGGCAATGACTAGAGAAATGGCTTGGAATTAAGAATATTTTAGATGGAGAGAATGTCAGGAACAGAGGCCAGAAGGCAGTGACAAGAGTGGAGGTAAACAGGCTTGAGCCCTTGACTTTATAGGACACAGTCAAAAAAGAGTATAACCAATGTGTGATCAAATAATTACAGCATATTTTGATAAGTTCCACATTAAAGGCATGTGCATGCAGATGGATTGAGGAGAGGGTATTACTATAGCATTTGGAAACTTTCCATTTTATCTTAACTCATCTAATTCCTCTTTCTCTTGTTATTTAACTTGGGGTTTCTCAGCCTCATCACTAATGGCATTTTGGCCCAAATATTTTGTTTGTTTGTTTGTTCGTTTGGGGTAAGAGCCTGTTCTGTTCATCACAGAATATTTCTCAGCATTCCTGACCTCTACTCATTTAATTCCAGTAGCACTACGTTCCCCTATCCACACTGTTGTGACTACCAAAAATGGCTCTAGAGCAGCCAAATTGATCCCAGTTGAGAACACTTTTAACTCATTGGCTTCTTATTCAGTAAGGCTTTCTTTGAAAATCCAGTGCAGTGTAGGCACTAGATTAGTCATGTGGATAAATGAAATGGATTCATCTTGAGGATAATAGGGCCTTCCTAAAAAGAAAAAACTAGCATCACAGTCTTGATTATTAAAAGTAAGGGAAGGGAAAAATCAAACTAAATTTGGTCTTAAAAATCATAGAGTCAAGTTGAGGTTAATGGGTATTTAAAATCACTCTTCTGAACTCCTTCTACCATGTTTAAATGTCTAAAATAGAACAGAAGTGCTATTCAAGGAGGTAACTATACTAAGACTTACATTTTCCCCTGAGCTTGACTACATAAAAGTATTATTTTCTCTTTCTTTAAAACATTGCAAGAAGGTATCTCACATTTTCTTACCTCAGGAGTCATTTTTAAAACTTCTGGCTTACTAAAGCCAAAAGTTCTAGCCAAAGAAAAGATTGTCCCATAGAAAATTGGAGAAAAAAGTTAATAATGGAAGAAAAATAAGGCAGGGTGCCCCAAAGCACACAGAAAAATTATAATGTCTCTTAACCAAAACACTTTCCAAATAACTTTTTTGCCTACTTTGTAATTTCTTTCACTGTTTGTGGTTCTCTTTCCAATACTTGCATTGTTTAGATGAGCCAGAAGGGAGACTGGAGGGGAATACTAGGATATTAGGCACGCACGTTGTTCCCTTAACATTATTTTTCTATCTGTGCTTTCCTTTCTCTTTCTAGTATCTTTCTTTTGTTATGTGTTTGATGTCTACATTAAATAAAGGATACAACATGGAAAAAAAGTTTTTGTAAGTACTCAAGGAGATAAAAAGCAGGCTATCTTAAAAGAATTTAAATCAGAGTTGCTTCCAAGCTTCTGCCTTGAAATAATCAATATCCAAATTTGGTGGAAGAACATGGTACAATCCTTAGTGGGGAAGCACGTGAGCCAAGGAAATTGATGATGTCATGTACATTGTATACACATGAATAAAAAAGTCAAAAAGAACGCTGTTCTAGTGATTTAACTATAGGTGTATACTTATTTGCTTTTCCTTTTCTTACTGGCCAACATTTATTTTACATTCTTTAAGTAGACACACTACAATTTCTTATAATTGTCCCAGTGACTTCTCAAGTGGATAATCTGGTGACTTCTCCTTCCCGAGACAAGGAGCAAGCACATGACCCAAACTAGGACAGTCAGGTAATGTGTCCCCAGGGTATGATTCTTAAGCCTAGTGGGTTGTTTTTTGGTTTGTTTCTTTAAAAAAAAAAAAAGAGGAATAAGGGGTGGGGTAAAATAACATAAAAGAAGAGAGTTTGCTGTTATTTCATCTGCAAGAAAATCAAACATCTGCTGCTTTAAAGGCTCTACAACTTCCTGATTATTTTGTGGTACCAAAAGCCTTCTTTGGACTTACTTCACTTTGATTTAGTGAGCTCCCTCATATCCTTCTAAGAGTTAACTTTTTGTTTCAGTTAATCATAATCTCATGATTATAATCAAAGAAAGCTAACAAATTAATTGAATATCAACTTTTTTGTTCAACAAAAATTAAGAAATTTTGTTACAATAATATCTGAGCGGAAAAATTACCTACAAACTGAGGCATTATAGTACTGATAGATGTAGGAGATACAATTTCCATCTTTAAGAATATTGAAATCTAATAAGAATAAAATCATGCTTATAACTAAATGCAATGTAAACCAAGCTCTGGAAAGGTTATTTATAGAAAGAAACATTTTTAGTGCACTATAGCATTTCAAAGGAGGGATACATAACAACTGCCTAAAGTTATCAGGGAGAAGCAAAAAAAAAGGAAGACTAGTCTATTTTACATTATGGAAAATAAAAGTTAACAATTTTTTTTATTCTAACATCTAAGTCACAAACTTAATGAAAACACCTTTTTCACAACTTTATATTTATTTTTAGTTGACTATTACAAACTATCCTACATAATTAGCTATATAGCTAACATCATAAATTTCAAAATTCATGATACAGTATTGTTATAAATCGCATTATAACTGTTTCTCTTTTGTGAAAAGAACTAAATGATCGTGGCTTTTTAAAATAAATAAATGTATAAGTTCTTTTAAGTCTAAACAATGTTCTTGAGATTTTGTTTGTGTGCTGGTTGTGAAGTATTCTGGAATTTTGTATTGTATAGTCATTAGTTTTCATATAAATAAATATCATTTAATTAAAATATTATAATTAAGTATAATCATCTCTCCCCATTATGTTCAGGTTATATAATCATATTTTGGGTTATCCATAGGCCTTTTCCCACAAACCACTTAATATCTGATACAGGCCACTGAATCAAAGGAGCTTTCATAGGAACAATTTGGTATTTGAATCTTAAACTTATATGCACAAAGTATACATATAAGTATGGATATGAATATACACATGGTATTTTTAAGAATTGTCGGCCAGGCATGGTGGCTCATGCCTGTAATCCCAGAACTTTGGGAGGCCGAGGTGGGTGAATCACCTGAGGTCAGGAGTTCGAGACAAGCCTCACCAATATGGAGAAATCCCGTCTCTACTAAAAAAACACAAAAAATTAGCCAGCCATGGTGGCGCATGCCTGTAGTCACAGCCATTAGGGACGCTGAGGCAGGAGAATGGCATGAACTCGGGAGGTGGAGCTTACAGTGAGCCGAGATCGTGCCACTGCACTCCAGCCTGGGCGACAGAGGGAGACTCCATCTCAAAAAACAAGAAAAAGAAAAAAATGTACATATGAATGGTGGTTGGTTTAACATTTGATTTAATGTATCCTATTTGTATTTTGTGATGTCTTTGTTATATCAGAATGCAGGACACATTAGAAAGACACGACAGGGGAGCAGATGACGTTTAGTCACTCAGGTGAGACAACAACAGACTTAAGTATATGGGCAGCTGTGGAGTTGAGAGAAAAATGACACAAGATATATTTATTAGGTGATGATTTACCTGCTTATGAGGCTGACATGTAGGATTTGGTTACCATCCAGATATGAAGTTAGGGTTGGGAGGTAAGGGAACAGGTCATGACAAAGTTCTTGTTCTTTGCAAATTGTATAACATTTTAAATGACTCATCCCATTTAAAGAAGAAAATATACGTCATCAGTATTTTTCCGAGACCTCTGTCACTCTAAGAGTTCTGAAAAGAAATAGCACATTTGAATTGTATATGTTTCTGAATGAAAGTGCAAAGAAGTTATTGGAAAGGTGACATATTCTAAAATTCCTTTTTATTTTTAAATTTAGAGCTGTTCGCATTTTTTATTCTAGAGATAAAAGTGGTCTGCTACTGAACTAAAAATGATTTCATTTTGGGTGAATTCTGATTTGTGGTGGCTGACTAAGGTACAAGTCAGAGCCCTGGCACTGCAGGATAGAGAAGCATAATCTGCTATTAGCCCTATTTCGCTGTTGGTTCTCTAATCTGTTGCGCTAGCATGATTTTCCTCTTGATTCTACCTCTTCCAGGTCACAGATGACAAACAGAGAAAAGCTGAATGAGTAGCAGCAGGATAGGAGCAAAATCTTGAGGTTAACTCACTGTTCTGTCTGACCTTTCCAAGGGCAAGCAAAAAAAAAAAAAAGACTATTTCTAAGTTCTTACTAATACAAGCTATTCATTCATTAATTTATTCAACAAATACAAATGTATACCCATGATGTATCCTGCAAGTAGGCTGGTGTTAATTACTTAAAATTGTACAGGAGGCATTAAACACAGGTAAAACACCAAAATAAGGGCATCCTTGATAAATAGTATGTACGTTAATTGCCGTTTGTTCATAACTGAAATGAATCAGAAAAGTCGACTTATGTAATACATTAGCAATACTTATTTGACTATTTTTTTACAAAATGAATAGCCACTTATTTCCCATTTTATTTGGTTTATAAGTTATTTTTATACATATTAAATTGTTTTTTAAAAGGTCATTATTGGACTAGTGACAAGTACCACATTTCTCATTAAAGGTGTGATGATTTGAGGGAGGTTCTAACATTTGATGATGACATATCATTTATGGTACATTTACTGTTATTTAAATGGTAAAATGCAGCATTTATGAGTCATAATCATATCTTCAGCTCCATTGTTTTCAATGAATGTTAGCCTCTAACATTGACAGTTTCCAAGGCATGATAAAACTTGTTTTCCATTTGTGGAAATAAACACCTCACCCGAACACTGTTACTTTTAGTCTTAAAACATAAAAGTTATTGTACAATTTTAAGCTAAAGAAATGCCATTGCTGATTTTATACTTAAGAATAAATATATATTCATATAATAGTTTATGGCAGTTTCTACTATTTCATAAGGGGTTTATATATTTGTGTCCCTTTGGTATAACTGGTATTGTGTGTGAAGTGTTTGTGAACGTGAACAGTAGAGTTGTTTCATTAAAATTAACAGGGTGCAGTATTTTAGTGCCAAATTAAATCAAGTAAAGTGAACTACCAGGACATTGTAATTAAAAGAAATAACAGCAACTTAACATTTTTATACCAGAAGCATCATTATCAGTGTCCCCTGAATTTGGGGGTGCTAGGCATGGCATCTAGAAATGGCTTTTGATTTATTTTCAATGTTTCCAAAAAAAAGTGCAGCAAATATTTACTTCAGTGCATTTTTTCCCCCATGAATAACCACCAATAAAAAATGCATCGTTTCTTGTCCTCCAGGCAATACAGCTAAAGTATACATTGAGATTCAGGATGAAAATAATCATCCCCCAGTGTTTCAGAAAAAATTCTACATCGGAGGTGTATCTGAAGATGCAAGAATGTTTACTTCTGTACTCAGAGTGAAGGTATGCGGAATTATGTTAATATACAGAACTAAAGTAAAAGCTCAGGTTTTGCAGATAAGCTGTAAGCCTGTAGTTTGCATTAACTGCATACTTATGCTGTATAAACAAAAGCCTGAAACTTGGAGCTATATTAGTTTAGTTATCTAAACTCAATACAGATTATATCAGGTAAACACTAAGCAACTTCTTGAGTTTCATTTTACTATGAAAATGGTAACAAAATACTTACGATGTTTTACATTGAATAAGATGTTGAAATGTATATCTTTTCTTAATGGTTTGTATTCCTCCAGTAGGATAACTCAAAAGATTCTCAAAATGAAATCTCTAATGACAAATATAAAATTACCACTTCTAATAGAAGAAATAGTGGAATAAATTAACCATTTTTTTCTGAAATTGTGAATTTTAAATGCTGATTGAATGAAAGTAAAAAAATAACACTACCAGTTTTAGTACTTTACTAAAAGTTACAAAAACCTTGATGTCTCAGAGAATGTTGGCTTACTTGGAATTTCAAAAATGCAGTATCTAAGACCAAAGTTGTAAGTTTTCAATTTTTTTCTTTATTTATCATCAAATGTTTATTACTAATTACTCTTATAATAGTTTATAATCAAATGTTTATGACTATTTCTAATCAACTGTGTATTACTAATGTTTTATTACTAAGAAAAAATTTTAAAGATTGAATTTTACTGAGGAAAAAGTTTAGATGCTAAACATTTTGGATTCTCAATTGCGGAGTTAATTTTGGACAGCATTTCAATGGTTAACTTGTAAATAGCTGTAAATTGCACATAAAACCTAAACATCTCTGGCAAATCTAGCTTTTGATTGCTTCTAGTTTTGCACATGAGTAATTGCCTTTCTTTTCCTATTACCAGGAGCACCATGATTAGAGCTCTTCTTACGTGTAGTTTTATCACCTATCAAACACTCTCAGTAAGAAAAAAAATTCAACCTAATTGGGTTGGGCTTGCAAAATAGCTCTTCCACTATGCTAAGTACAGACCCCTGACCTGAATCACCAGTTTAACTAAAAGTAGTCCACAAATCTGTCATTCATTACATTTAATTTATGTTGTTATCCACAAGTAGGAATCCTTTGTAGCTGATTTTTATCTTATTTTATATTTTAGTCTCATTAACTCTTAATTGATTTAGTTCTATCATTTAGTCAAATATGTTTGAGTACCTATAATGTGCTAAACACTGTTCTAGAAGTTTGATATAGAGCAATTGACAAAGCAAACAAACAAACAAAGTTTCCACCCGAGTAATGCAGACAAACTAGTTGAAGAAATGAATAGATGAGTAAGTTATGTAGTGATAAATTCTAAGGAAACAAAAAAGTTTGATAAGGGAAGAATGAGAGTGGTGCAATTTTAGATAAGAAAGTTAAGATAGTTCTTTTTGGATAAAACTGAAACAGTGACCTGAATAAAGGAAAAGATCAAGACATGGATTCTTAAGTGAGCAGCATTCTGGGATTTCTCTGTAAAGCCCTAAAGGTAGACAGGGAGCTGGAGGCTAGTGTGAATGAAAAAGTCTGGTAGGAAATGAGATCAGAAATGTACCTGGGGCTAGAATATGGGATTCGTTCTAGGTGTGTTGGAAAGAAAGCCTTTGAATGATTTAAACAGTTATGACATCATCCAATATAAAAAGATTATTGTAGATGCTGCATGGGGGATGTTGGGAATGGGTAACACAGTGTTTTGGACAAGTAGAGTTTAATGCATGACGAGTCCAGGAAAAATTTGACGGTAGCTTGAACGACGTTGATAGGCTATGGAGACCTTGAGAAGGGGGTTAAAGGATAGAACATATAGGATTTGCCGATGAATCATACATGGGACATTAGGAAAAATCAAGAATGACTTGGTGGTTTTTGTCCTGAACAGATCCCCATACCTCCTCCACTGCCTATTGTGATGGCAGTAATCAAGGTTTGGGAGGCTTTTTCAATACAGAAACCTAATTCTTGGCAAGGCATTTGCAAATGCTGATCTAGACTTGAGAGAGAAATAAGGGGCCAAGATGAAATCACCCTGAAAATGGGTTTGACAAAAAAAATACGAAGACTAAGCTTTGGGAATTTCAGCACTTAGAGATCAGGAGAAGAAGGGTTTGGGGATACTGAGATGTTGCTGCCATGAGGTGACAGGAATACAGGGAAAATGCAAGGTCCCTGAACCATGGAAAGAACAAGATTGATAAAAGAGGATCGTTGACTGTCAGATGCTACTGTGATTAGAATGCCCTTGTGGATTTTTACATCACCACTTATGTTACTAATCCTATAGTGTGATGTAGGAAAAAAAGATAAGCCAAATGTTAAACTAGTCCATTAATAAAGGAGATTACTCAAAAGGCATGTGATGACTATAACAAGGAAATTTAGTGGGTGGCATTATCTGATGGGATTTACTTCAGAGGAATTGGGACAGAGTGTCAAAGGAGACAGAAGGATGCTTGCCCTGTACTCCTGGGCTCTGTGCTATGTAAATTATGGTAGCCACTACTGGGAGATCTACAGAAAGCAGCATCTTTTGTCGAGGATGGTTAGAGGGAGAAAGAAGGAATCAAAAAGTATAGGTAATACTCAGAGGGAAAGTTGAACATTTAGGGGATTTTGTTGATGATGGTCTGTGATTTCCAAGGGATTCTGGCGAAAGTTTGGTAGTAGTGTAAAAGTCAGGTGAGAAACTGAGTCTTAATAAGGTGTGTAAAGACATTGCATTGAAAGAAGCATCAGGGTGAGGACATATGCCCTGGACAGAATGCATGGACTTCTTCAGATGAAGTATACAGTGTTGGGATTGATTGTGTCTCCAGACTACTGAGAACTCTAAGGAACCCTCCCCCTTCAAACTATCAGTGGGTAATTCAGACTAGGGAAAGGGGTCCTTTCTAGGAAACCAACTTCATGCAATATAATATACTAGGTACTTTATACAATAGTGAGAGAAAGAGGGGAGAGAGAGACAGACAGAGAGAGGGGGGGAGAGAGAGAGAGAGAGAGAGAGAAAGTTTAGAGAGAGAGAGAAAGAATGTGTTTATGCAAGTGTATGCTATAATAATAAAGTCAAGTAGCAGAGCGCAAATTGTCTTGTGGATTCAAAGGAAGAAAACATTTCAGTTGGTGAATGAACATAAAGGTTTCCTGGAGGATGAAGAATTTAAGACTAGCACTGAAGGGTGGTTAGATTTTTTTTTCCAAAGTGAAACATATGTGAGGAAGACACAGTCTAAGTAGAGGAAACAAACTAAGTAAGCCAAAACTCAGAAGAAACAAAGTGCAGAGCGTATCTGAGTGATAGGAGGCAAGGGATTTACGAGCGGAAGGGAGTAATAAATACTTAATGTTTAACAATTCCAGTTGCTGCCTTTAGCCTTGAAGCCTGAAATCTCCTTTCCAGAATTTAATCAGAGCATGAGTTAAGCAGTTCTTCTCATTTTATACTTAGAGCAACAAAAATATTAATGCAAACAGCACTGAATCAGGACCAGTTCAGCTGTGGTGTTTGAAGGAAGGAAAGATGATTTTAAAAATGGGAAGTAGCCCATGATTGTGAAAGAGGTGTTTCTACCAATTGCTATACAATATTAGGTAATGGTAGATCATCTACCATGCATACAAGTTAATTTTTTTTGGTCCATGATATAACGCAGAATGATAAAAGTTAAATGTAAATATGTGCTTTGTGTAAGAAGGGAAAGAAGAAATGTGACATAGAATAAGATTGACAAAGTAAGATAAGACTTTGAAATAGCAGTGAATAAGGCTATATTAGCTTAAAAGATGAGTAGTGAATTTGGGGCATTATTTTTAAAATATGCTACAGGTAAAGTGACACAATAAAAACATTGTTGAAGTGAATTATCCAATATAAGTAATAACATAATAAAGACAATTGTATATCTGCTCTGAAGTGGTATACCTAATATACTTAAAAACTTAGGTTCTAAGTTCATTTTTTTAAAGAAAATATATACTGTGTTCTTACTCTGTACTGAAAATATGGAAGCAACAAAAATAGGCTCTCTCTACCCTTACAGAAGCCACATTCTAGTAAACTAGACCACCCCCCCCCGAAAAAAAGTAAATAAATAAAAACATATGTTATAATTAAATCTAGATGGACAAAATACCTAATTTAGTTTCAGTTCATGTTTATACTATAGTGAGTGGAAAATAATATAATTATCTGAAATTTAGGTGAAGGTGAGTTTTAAATTATTCTGTTTGTACCACTGAGTTAATTTAGGTGAAGTCTCTGGTTTTAATATACTCACATTGTCTGAGTATAGTAGACACCATTAGTTGGCTATTTCTCCTACCTCACACTTTAACAGAATTTCAGTTTTATTTAGGTATTATTTTTGGGGATCATGTGCTTCAGGGGAAGTGAAGCCTATTCCAAAGTGGTGAAAAATGGCTGGTCAGAGCCAATCATGCCTGTCCTGTTACCTTTGCAAATGAT
Source organism: Homo sapiens (assembly GCF_000001405.40). Classification (NCBI taxonomy): domain Eukaryota; kingdom Metazoa; phylum Chordata; class Mammalia; order Primates; family Hominidae; genus Homo; species Homo sapiens. The sequence continues at coordinate 53,898,752 of NC_000010.11, read as the reverse complement.
TGGTTTGCACGTGGATATGTGAGTCATTTTTGAGCAGTGATTGTTAAGGGAGGTCTCCTGAGGATTTTCTAGGACAAAGATATATACAGACATGTAGATACTTGATTTCTGGCTCAATAATTTGAAGGCTCATGTCACATTTAAGTACATGAATTGTATCAAAAGTGCACAGAACAAAAAGTTATCTGAGAAGATCTATATTTACTATGGTTTCATGCTGGGTATCTGTGTCACAACTGGTTCTACGAAGTTGATTTCCGTTAGTGACAAGTAATCAGTCATTTTAATTATGAGGAGTGCGAAAAGAAAATCCAATGGTAATTCGTTTTTCTTTAGTCTTTAAAACAATTAGTTAATATCAGTTAAAATATAACTCTTACTATATACTTAAAATAATTGAAACCAAAGACTTGATCATGTATTTGTACACCCATGTTCATAGAAGTGCTATTTACAACAACTAAAAATTAGAAACAACCCATATGGGGCCGGGTGCGGTGGCTCATGCCTGTAATCCCAGCACTTTGGGAGGCCGAGGCGGGCGGATCACGAGGTCAGGAGATCCAGACCATCCTGGCTAACACGGTGAAACCCCCGTCTCTACTAAAAATACAAAAAATTAGCCAGGCGTGGTGGTGGGCACCTGTAGTCCCAGCTACTCGGGAGGCTGAGGCAGGAGATTGGCATGAACCCAGGAGGCGGAGCTTGCAGTGAGCCGAAATCACGCCACTGCACTCCAGCCTGGGCGACAGAGCGAGACTCTGTCTCAAAAAAAAAAAAAAAAAAAAAAAAAGGGAAAAGAAACAACACATATGTTCATCTATAGATGAATGAATAAACAAAATGTGATATACACATACAATGGAATATTATTTAGTCCTAAAGGGAAATAAATTCTAATACATGTTACATCATGGATTAATGAGGACATCATGCTCTGTGAAATAACCTAGACATGGGCAAATATTGTATGACTCTACTTACCTAGAGTAGGCAAATTCATAAAGACAGAAAGCAGAATATTGGCTGCCAGGGTTTAGGGGTGAAGTGGGAGGAGGTAAATGGGAAGCTGTTGTTTAATGGCTACTCTGTTACCGTTTGGGAAGAAGAAGACGTTTTGAGCATGAATGGCAGTGGTATTTGCAGAACAATGTGAATACACTTAATGTCAATGAACTGTACACTGAAAAGTGGTTGAAATGCTAACTTTTGTGTTACGTACATTTTACCACAGTAAAGAAAAAGAGGAGAGAGGGCATCACTTTTATTGAAAGAATGTGAACACCTTTTTTAAACTATTTTTAATTTATAAAATGTTTTAAACTTTAAAATTTTTTAAACTATATTTAATTTAATTCATTCCTTTGAAGCTCTTATGAATGTGAAGCTTATGTTCAAATTCAGAAGTAAAGATTTATATTAGTCAATTTATTTTTCTTGACTATGTACTGCGTTTTTAAACATTTTATTTCATAAAACACCAGTTGCAACAATATGGGAGTGATGTGCATTGTGGGAACATGCTAATCCTCTCAGCCTGTCAGGAGGCCATATAGAATCTGCATTACCTTGTATGTTGAAAAAGCCTCCCCACAATTCTGAGTCCTCCTTCTCTAGGGCAGGCCATTAGTTGAACATCATTAACTGAAATGTCCTACACCAGCGGTCCCCAACCTTTTTGGCACCAGGGCCTGGTTTTGTGGAAAACAATTTTTTCACAGACAGGAGTGCAGAGGGGGATGGTTTGGGGATGACTGAAGTGCATCACATTTATTATGCACTTTATTTCTATTATTATTACATCGTAATATATAATGAAATAATGATAAAACTCGCCATAATGTAGAATCAGTGGAAGCCCTGATCTTGTTTTTCTGAAACTAGATGGTCCCATCTGGGTGTGATGAGAGACAGTGACAGATCATCAGGCATTAGGTTCTCATAAGGTTTGTGCAACCTGGAACCCTTTCATGCGCAGGTCACGATAGGGTTTATGTTCCTATAAGAACCTGATGCTGCCACTGATCTTACAGGAGGCAGAGCTCAGGAGGTTATGTGAGCCATGAAGAGTAGCTATTAATACAAATGAAGCTTCACTCAGTCACCCACCACTCACTTCCTGCTGTGTGGCCCAGTTCTTAACAGGTCACCGACTGGTAGTTGTCCATGGCCTGAGGGTTGGGGACCCCTGTCCTACACTAATGAAAAATGACTGATGAATATGGTTACATCAGAATAGCAGACTCCTGCAACAAGGGTGCTATAAATGACTGAGTGAAGCAATATGTTAAAAGCAAATACTCACGACATCTATTAAAAAATATATATCTCAAAGGAGCAGTATCCAGAATATAGAAAGAACTGTAAAAAAGCAACTATGTAGTCAACAAAAAAGAAATAGAAAAAGTGATGAATACTTGTAATATTTGTAATTTTTTGTGTGAAGAAGGAAAGTTGAAGCTAGGCCTTTGAACATTAACTTTTTGTTTCTGCTGGGCTTTGAAGAAATGTTAATGGATAAATATTCCCTAATTCATAATAATAACTGTGGTTTATTTGTCATTATTATTTTTCTGAGAACTGTGAAATGTCATTTACTTATTTTAGCCTACACTCTTTAAATAAATAAATAAAATGAATAAATAAAATAATATCAATTAAAATAAAACAAGTAAATTTAAACATTGATTTATGCAGTAGATGCAATTATTTCTTATTGCACTTTTGGGAAAATTGAAGCTCAGTAAGTCTGGATAACTTTCCTAGTATTACTCAGCCAAATACCCAGTGAAGTTGGAATTTAAAGTTAGGTCTACCTCAGTTCAAGAACTTTTCTTGTAACCTCTTACATTGCTTCCCAGGAGAAATGAGGCGTAGAATCCTGCTAGAAAATAAGAGAACATACTAACTTTCTGTGAAAAATTAGGAGACAAGTAAAAAGGCAACCGATTTCTTTTCAACTTGAGATGAACTGTGTAAATTGTGACACCCCCTGTTAAGGTAACAAGTAAGATTTGATTTTAAAAACACTTTTCAAATTGTTAACTAATTTTTCCAGTTTATTGCATGTTGTCTTAACTGCAAAAATAGCATTTATTGCAAATACAGGGAGATGTTAAATGTGATCAAGATTAATTTTAAAAAACTCTGAATTATGAAGATATTTTCCAGAAGTTAATGCAGTGAGGATTAATCTCATTCTTTACAAGTTGCACATATGGAAAAACAGTGTCAGAAGAATTGAGTTATAATGTTGATTTGATCTCTACTGAAAGTTAAAAAGATTTTGAATATTCTATTTTTGAATTATTAAAGATGCCAAATTTAAGAAATTTATGGACTAAAAGAAAATAATATTGTGAAAAAGCAGCAAGAAAAAAGACTTAACACTTAATGGCTGATTGTTTATTACATTTTCAAAAGCACAAACTGGTGATGAGAGGTTTCAGCAGAGTGATGCCGTAGATAGAAAAAAGCCACAGTCATGGTCAGAGGATGCAAATTTCCTTAGTAGCAAAAGGTATAGAAATGTACAAGGTTAACAATGTAGGGTAATACATAATGTTTCTAGACAGAGGTTAGGGCTCCTGGGGGCTCCTGGGGGCTCCTGGTCTCTAGCCCTATACCTGCTCACCTGGGTCTTAGGTAAAACATCTCCAGCACATTTCTGAATTTTTAATGTATTTTCCCCAAGTAGCATCTCTTTAATTTACAGAGAACAGTGCATCACAGGAGCAATAAGTAACCTTCCCAACATGTGCAGCTAATTGGGAGTGAGGCTACAATTTACAGCCTGGCATTCTGCTTCCGAGACCAAGCTCAACCACGTTTCCAGTGGAAGAGCACTGGACTGACATTCTAATCACCTGGATTTAGTTCTGGGCATGCTCTTATCTCTCTGTGAGACTTTATGCTCCATCACTCTGTGCCACAGATATCTTCTCACATAAATATTGCTGTAGAAGCAGGTGCCCTTTAAAATCTTTAAGCTGATGGTTTGCTTATTTATGTGTTATTTACTGTTACAATGTCAAGTGTCCTGTGACAACTGTTATACTTGAGAACCACATTTTAGAGGTCAAATAGCGTAGATTACTTAGTTCTGAAATCAAAATCACCATTTATGTTTTACAGTATTTGTGGTTTATGTTACTTGAAAGCTAGTGAGTTATTTTGTGACAATTTTCTTCCTAGTTACATATAGAACAGATGCAAACAAGAACCAGCCTGAAGTAAAGGTCCAATAAAACACTAATTTTGGTTCCCCATTGCCAAGTATGAGGAAACTCTCTCATGGTTTCAAGGGAGAGGTGTTTTCACAAGGTCTTACTAATCACTGGTTTCCTTCCATCTATGGCCATACCACCCTGAATGCGCCCGATCTCGTCTGGTTTCCTTCATGTTTTGGCACGGTGTTTGACCTTGTGTGGTTTGTACTTTGAACAAAGCAAACATATGTAGGTGTCTGAGGGTGCATTGCCTTCTTGACTATGACCCTGTAACTGAATCACTATATGTCTAGTTTAGCACTTAAACCAATTATACTGTTATCGTTTATCTGTGTGCATGATTTTCCTACTAGAATTTAAATTTCATCTAAGCAGACATTATGTTTTCCCATCAACTTAAAGACATTATATATTGGGCTTAACATTTCAAATTGGTGTTTGTTTAAAATTTTATTTATTGATTTTAATTTAGTTTATTTTATTTCAATAATTTTTGGGTACAACAAACCCCCCTGACACAAGTTTACCCATATAGCAAACCTGCACTTGTACCCCTGGGTTTTAAAAAAAGTTTAGCAAAAAAGTATTTTGGGGAGAACAAGTGGTTTTTGGCTACATGGATAAGTTCTTTAGTGATGATTTCTGAGATTTTGGTGCACCTGTCATCTAAGCAGCATACACTGTACCCATTGTGTAGTCTTTTACCCCTCACCTTCCTCCCACTCTGTCCCCCGAGTCCCCAAAATTCATTGTATTATTCTTATGCCTTTGCGTCCTCATAGCTTAGCTCCCACTTGCAGATGAGAACATACAGTATTTGGTTTTCCATTCCTGAGTTACTTCACTTAGAATAATGGCCTCCAACTCCATCCAGGTTGCTGTAAATGCCATTATTTCAATCCTTTTTATGGCTGACTAGTATTCAATGGTGTATATATACCACATTTTCTTTATCCACTCATTGGTTGATGGGCATTTAGGCTAGTTCCAGATTTTTTGCAATTGCAAATTGTGCTGCTATAAACGTGTGTGCAAGTACCTTTTTCATATAATGACTTCTTAAAATTTTATTTATTTATTTTTACATATACTCATGTCTTTTAACCTGTTTAACATATGTTGCATGAATGATCATTTCAAATTAGTAAAATACATTTTACATTAAACTCTTTTGGGCTGATTACAACACAGAATAACATCACCCTGGACTTCCCTGTGGGTTTCACTTCTTGCCAAATTAGAAACTCAGACTTGATGACAGCTTTATGAATGTTATCCATGTATCATAGTTTTACATTTATTTAGCCTCACTGGTGACATCAAATGTGAAGATTTTTTTTTTCCTGAACAACTGGGCTATTTTTGTTATATGATCACAGGCTATACTGTACTTAATATTTTCCTTTTGTTTTTTTCCACCGACACTCAAAGTCAAATATTTGATCCATCTTTGGCAATTTTAGAAGATGAATGCAATACAAATTGTGGTATACTGACTTTCTCTGATTTCCTTTATATATTTTACGTTTACTCTCTATCATCTTTTCTTTCAATTATTTTTAGATTATATCATATATTTTTAGAAAATACTTCACATTCATTTTGAAATTCTGTGGCACAAATGCAGACAGATGATTACAAAAAAATCTATTCTGTTTCTACACTGTATTCTGTATTTTATTTTTAAAGAATATATCGCTGTTACTATAGTCACCATGTTGTACAATATATCCCTTTACCTTATTCCTCCTATATAACTGAAACTTGATATTCCGTTTCAAATAGTCTAATCCTGCATTTTCTCCTGTACTAGTTGAGAACCATAAAAAACATTACCAGTTGCTGATACATAGCATTTCTCCTTATTAGTCTGAACAAGTAAAACATTCTTGTTATGTTCTTTTAATATAAGTGGACAAGATGAAGTCTATTTTAGATGTCAGTTGAGTATACAATGAAATAATTCTGCATATGTTTTACTCTTCTTCCCCCTCTCCACACAAATCAGTTTGTTTGTTATTGTAGAAGGGACACCAAAAAATATCATTCTCCTAGCAAACAATTTATGCCTATTAATTTGAATGTAATTTAATTAAAAATTGCTTTAATTCGTATTACTTATAATAGAAATCGGACTACTTTTCCCAGACTATAATTATCTGAAGAATGAGGGAAGCTTGGATGTTTCAAAATCGATGAGGCCGGTCCCAGTGGCTCACGCCTGTAATCCCAGAACTTTGGGAGGCCGGGGCGGGTGGATCACGAGGTCAGGAGTTCAAGACCAGCCTGGCCAAGATGGTGAAACCCAGTCTCTACTAAAAACTACAAAAAATTAGCCGGGTGCAGTGGCAGGCGCCTGTAATCCCAGCTACTCAAGAGGCTGAGGCAGGAGAATTGCTTGAATCCAGGCGTCTGAGGTTGCAGTGAGCCAAGATGCCACCACGGCACTCCGGCCTGGGCGACAGAGACTCTGTCTTGGAAAAAAAAAAAAAAAAAAAAAAAACATAGATGTAAAGCTGCTCTGATAACTGGAAACTTTTTTGTTTGTTTGTTTTGATATGGAGTGTTGCTCTGTCACCCAGGGTGGAGTGCATTGGCATGATCTCGGCTCACTGCAACCTTCACCTCCCTGGTTCAAGCAATTCCCCTGCCTCAGCATCCCAAGTAGCTGGGATTACAGGTGAAAGCCACACCCAGCTAACTTTTTTGTATTTTTTTTTTTTTTTTATTTTTAGTAAAGACAGGGTTTCACCATGTTGGCCAGACTGGTCTCGAAACCCTGACCTCAGGCAGTCTGCCTACCTTGGCCTCCCAAAATGCTGGGATTACAGGCATGAGCCACAACGACCAGCCTGGATACTTTATTTTTAAAGTAGAGAGTTTAAGGACTTTTTATGAATTTGAAGAGCCATTGGACATGATACATGAAAATAAAGTAGTTTATTTGGTAAATGGCCAAATAATTTTGCCTTTCCTAAACTTGCTGGTGGCTCATATATTTTAAAGTTTGAGTGCACTCTAGCAGTATTAGAAATTTATTAAATGTCTTTGTATCTCTCAGATGATTAAATGTGTAACAATCCAAGGTATAGGTATGGAATACTATTTTTGGAGGTAAGCTTGCATTTACTTTTAGGAGGTTTTATAAGTTTTAGAGTAGTGATGATTGTGTGTACTCTCCTATATTATGTTTCAAAGGCCACATCCTCCATCATCTGTAGAGCAAGAATACTGACATTTGGTTCTCCCTTTGAAAATCTCAGAATTTTTCTGAAAGTGAAGGCTGCATTGCAAGGCACAATTCAGAAGATAAATTGGGCAAATAAAAATTACTTTTGTCTGAAGATGTCCTGTAATGTCTTGAACCTCCATTAACTTTGTGCTGTACTGACCTGACACAGGAGATCTATAACACGAATATAAGGGGAAAAAATGAGGAAAATGAGCTTTTAAAAATTGTTTATTCATACTTCTATAAATGTATCTTAATTTTGAATTGTCTATCAATATTTCCAATAAGAACGGTAAAGTACAAGAGTTCCTTAAAATGCGTTATGAAGAAAGTTTAGTTCCAAATAAGCCATAAGAAATAAATGATTCTTCCTATTAGTTTCAATTAATTTACCTTAAGGGAAACCCGCAGGCCTGGAGAGAGATTTTATGCATAAAGAGAATACAATTTGCACTGGTTAGTTGTAATTCACTGAAAATCTGAGAATTGCAGAGACTTTAAAATTTTTTTATTTTTCCTTTTTTTTCAAAAACAGGCAATGAAATGCCTGGATTCACAAAAATGCATTCTAGTGAACAAAAATAACATCTAAACTAGGCATCTCCATCAAGTTGATCCAGAAACTTTATGTGGTAGCTACACTAGTTTTTATAAAGATAATTCTCTCTTTAATAATGTTTCATTTTACTCATTTCCAGGATTTCTCCCCCTAGACATTTATGGTCTCTTAGAAACCCAGTAATCTAGAAAAGGACAAAAGTCAGTGAGGCTCATAGTAATTTGAAAGACTATCAACACCTGAAGCCAATAGACCCCAAGATATGTTGAATGCTGATATCAAAAGAATTTTTTTGTTCTTTTTTTTGAGACAGTGTCTCACTCTGTCGCCCAGGCTGGACATGCAGTGGCACCATCTCAGCTCACTGCAACCTCCGCCTCCAGGTTCAAGCGATTCTCCTGCCTCAGCCTCCCGAGTAGCTGGGACTACAGGCATGTGCCACCAAGTCTAGCTAATTTTTTGTATTTTTAGTAGAGATGGTGTTTCACCGTATTAGCCAGGATGGTCTCGATCTCCTGACCTTGTGATCCGCCTGCATCGGCCTTCCAAAGTGCTGGGATTACAGGCATGAGCCACTGTGCCCAGCCTAAAAGAATATTTTTGATGTATAATTTTTATTACAAGCTGCATACATAATGCAACCTGCATATGCAAAATCACACAGATTCTAAGTGTGCAGCTAGATAAATATTTACAAAGTGAACACGGTAGTGTAACCAGTGCCCAGGTCAAGAAACAGAGCATTACCAGTTCCTGCTCCACATCCCCGTAAGAATAACTAGTATGACTTCCAACCATAAATTTGTTTTTCTTGTTTACGATATTTTTATAGACTTAGGAAAATTGTATTTTTTGTTTAGATTCATTTTCTCACACTATATTTGTGAGATTCATCTATGTTATTATTGCATGTAGTAATAATTGATTCATTTTCATTGCTCTAGAGAATTTCATTGTACAAATATATTACAGTTAATATATCCTATATACTGTCCATATAAGTTGTTTGGGGTTTCTTAATATTACAAATATACTTAGGAGTAGAAATTCTAGGTAAGGGGATATTCATAAGTTCAGACTTAATAGATAGATAATATCAAACTGTTTTCAAAAATGTTTTACTAATTTATATCCCCTCAGCAGTATCTGAGAACTTCAGTTGCTTCACAATTTGATTTTGTCTGATTTTTTTTTTTAGTCACTGTGATGAACATGTGATGGTTTCTTGTGCTTCGTTTACCATTCCCTAGTAGTTAAGATAGTCAAATGTCTCTTTATATATTTTTTGCCAGTATTTGTATCCTCTTTATGTGGCGACTATTTTGGTCTCTTTCTAACATTTTTCTCTGGACATTCTGTTGTTTGTTTTGTTTTCTCATTAAGTCTTTAGAATTCTTTATATACTCTGGATTGCATATCTTTATTCAATATATGTATTGGATATATCGTCTCCCAAGGTATGGCTTGCATTTTCACCCTATTTTTTATGCTTTTTCATGAGCAGAAACTTTTAATACAATTTATTATTTTTTCATGTTGAGCAACTTTTTGTCTTGTTTAAAAGCTCTTTGAGTAACACAAAAACATGACTTTTTTAAGTTTATTTCCAAAAATTTTATTTCATATTTTATGTTTAGATTTACAGTCCATATGGGATTTTTTTGTGTGTTTGGAGTGATGTAGGAGGTCAAGATTTTTTTTTTTTTATTTCCCATGTGGATATTTAATTGACCAGCATCATTTTCTAAAGAGACCATTTTTTTTCTCCACTCTACTTGACGTGTTCTCTCTGTTCTAAGTCAAATGGTCATGGATGTAAAGGCTTATTTCTGAATACTTTATTCTATTTCATTGACCTGTTTGTCTTTGCATCATTCTGCTATCTGAATTACTATAGTTTTATAATATCTGATAGTGTAAGTCTTCTGCTTATTTTTTTGTCTTCAAGGTTTGTTGGCTTCTCTTGGCTCTCTCTGTGTGCTCATTACCAAATAAGGTTTAGAATCAGCTTATCAATTTCCACAGGAGATATATATATATATATATATATATATATATATATATATATCAAACTTAACTGCTAGGGAATTGAAAACAAACCATAAGAAACCAACACATGTTCATCACAATGACTAAAAAAAAAAAAAAAAAAAAAACAGACAAAATCAAATTGTGAAGCGACTGAAGTTCTCAGATATTGCTGAGGGGATAAAAATTAGTAAGACATTTTGGAAAAAGTTTGATATTATCTATCTATTACATCTGAACTTATGCATATCTCCTTACCTAGAATTTCTACTCCTATGTAATTTGTAAGACAAATTTGTAATATTAAGAAACCCCAAACAACTGATATGGAATATATATATATATGTATATATACGTATATATATATACGTACATATATATACGTACATATATACATATATATATATATATATGTATATATAGTGTTGGAATGTTTATTTGTATCCAATTGGTCTACAGATATATTTAAAGAGAATGTCAGCTATACAATATTGAGCAGAGGTGAACATATTTTTGGTCTGTGTTTAAACAAACCAGCAAAATCTCTTCTTCTATGAAGAAAAACTGCATGAGTGGGTTGGGTTAGGGGCTGGAGAAAAGTATTAATAGCATTTTTTAAACTATATATTCTCTTCTTTCTTACAACCCATGGTGTATGGCACTGCCAAATTAAGGAGTAGATGTCAAATTATTATAGTATTTCTGTAGTTTTTAATGACTGTTTTCTTTTTTTGAAGATCCTGTATTCTTTTATTACCTATGTTTTAGGAGTTAGTTTTTGTTTTTTTGTTTTTTGTTTTTTATTTTTATTTTTTGGAGATGGAGTCTTGCTCTGTCGCCCAGGCTGGAGTGCGGTGGCGCGATCTTGGCTCACTGCAAGCTACGCCTCCCGGGTTCACGCCATTCTCCTGCCTTGGCCTCCCGAGTATCTGGGACTACAGGCATGTGCCACCACGCCCGGCTAATTTTTCGTATTTTTAGTAGAGACGGGGTTTCACCCGTGTTAGTCAGGATGGTCTGGATCTCCTGACCTCGTGATCCGCCCGCCTCGGCCTCCCAAAGTGCTGGGATTACAGGCGTGAGCCACCGTGCCCGACCTGTTTAATGAGTTTTTAAAAATACAGGGAAGAGAATTGAATTTTCATGAGAGTACTGTAGAAACAAAGAAGAAACGTGAAGCTGTAGAGACACAATTTTAGAAATGTATATTACATTTCTAAAAATGTTTAACAAGCTTGAAATTAAAAGGAAAAGGAAAAAGATTATTCAACTTTCTGTTAATTTTAAGTTATTCTTCATGGAAGATAAAATAATTCTGACAAAAGGGGATAAGCTAGTATTTTTCTTATTGGTTAGCATAGTTTATTCCATCTAAATATTAGTCTTCTCTTTACTTAATGTTAAGGAATTCTCGATATTTAATGCTTGGTAAAACAATGCCACATAGTGTTCTTGTCATTTATAGCAAGAATGCATGTTTTAGGAAGACGAAATACTATATTACAGGTGGTAGTAGCTGAGAGGTGCCAGTAATCAAATACCTTAGGTTGGATCTGAAAGACAGGGTGGTAGGGAGAATGAAAGTCAGTATGAACTAGCATATGTGTTTACTTTGGTTCTTGGTTTCAGAATCCAGGATCATGAGCTAGTATAGTATCATTTGGACCTGAAAAAATTGCATAATCATGCCAACATGTCAAAAACAGATTCATAAATCCTTCAAAAACGTAAGCACAGACACAGTCCTTGCTGATGTTTTATAATATAGGGCGTTGATAAAGAGCCCAAAATGGGCAATAAAAATAAGTGAAAGGGAACAGCCTGCATCTTAGAAAAGGCAGTTGGAGGGATTTCGACACTCAGCAGAGAACAAACATCATAGGAAAAAGTAAACAGTGTGGCTTCCAGACCCAGAAGGCAGTGAGCTCTGAACATATTCACTTTGAGATTAAGTAACATTTGAATAGAACAAGACCAGTTGATACTGAAACAACCTCTTTTGAGGAATGGGCTCTTTTTGGGCTCAATATTCTGGTTCAGAGCTAAGATATGAGTGTAAGATGCGGCTGAGCCCAAAGGTGCCAAAAAAAAAAAAAAAAAAAAAAAAAAGAGGCATACATGTGGGCAGGAAACGACTAGCAGCTCCTGCCCCAAAAACATGAAGTCATGATAGGAATTACTACAAGAACATTTTATTTAAGTCAATGTTGATTAAAGTTTAACCAAATGTTATGGGTATGCTAAATCGGAAGACTGTGAAAGAAAGGTTAATGAATATAATATATAAAGGACATTATAAAAATAAAGTTTTGATATATTTAAGTCTAACCGTTTTCCAAAAGCATAATAAGGACAAATGTGAGGTTTTATTTAACCATGAGTGGGCTGTGTAACCAGGAGTGGACAGGTTTCTTAATTTCTGTAAGCAACAGGTCTGCAGAGTGATGACAACACTAGCTAATGAATTTTATCTGAATATAAATGAGAAAATGCACATAAAGCACTGAGCACGGTTCGTTCCTCTCTCTGAACTTAGACATTCTCTAAATAGACATTCTCTCAATAGATCTCTCAATAGTCATTGTTACCTGTTACCTGAGTTGTTCTTTTTCCCTGTAAGATGATAGTAATCTCAAAATCAAAATGTTTCAAACAGCATGCACAGTGCATACATGTTATTAAAAACACAGTTTTATTGAACACACAGCCATTTTTCTTTGCCCTTAAAACTGAATACTGGGCCTCTCTTTCCAGAATTCACCTTCAGCATTAGTATAGAATGCTAATTTGTCTTCTTAATAGTAGAATAAGGAATAATTATAAGAAGCTGAATACAACATAATAGATTCCTCCATTAAGTCACCAGATGAGTTCTCTTTGAGATACACCTTAGTGTATTATTTACATGAAAATATTATTCCACTGAGGAATACTCAATATAACTTTTCTAAATCCTTGTATATGTTAAATGAGATAGTTGGTTCTCTTATATGAATACTGACCAGATTAAAATGTGTGAGGCATATTTATATGTTTTAAATGAGTAGTATTATCTTAGCACCATGTTATAAAGTATTTTTGCATAGAATTTTCTTGTTGTCAATGGTTATCTGTAGCTTGATATTTTTCTTTCTGGGAGTATGGTAAGCTTAAGAAAAAATAAATAATTATCTCTATATGTACAGGCATGAAGTCCTGAGAAACAAACCCTAACAGCACAGCTGGAAACACTTCAAACAGTCTTCAAGCAGTATCAGTATAAATTTATCCAGAGAACAGTTTTTAAAATAATATTTCTTTTTTTTAAAAGGCATATTGAAGGTTTTTTGGTCCTTATACCACAGTATATCATAAAATGGAGTGAAATTATATTATACTAATTAATGTACATCTGCTAAGTGGAAATAAATCTTGAAGTTCTCTTAATTAAAGTAGGAAAAAAGGGAAAAGGCAGTGAAATTTATTAAATAAGTTTTCTTTAGAAGGAGGGGGCACAATCTATATAAAAAATAAGCCCAGCCTGGGAAAGGCCAGCAAGTTAAGAATGTTTATAGAGAGACCATAAGTACCCCATTGTATATAGGTATGGTCAACATTGCCATTTTTCAAAGTAAATGTATTGATAGAAAGTTCTGAATGGCAGAAAATTTATTTTTCATTATTAAAGAATGAATTACCTATAAAATATTGAAAAACGAAGCAGCTCTTTCTCTGGCATTAATGAATCACAGCATGACACATAATCTTTTCTGCCACCTCCTGAGAGTATTAATGGTATATTATGTTAGTAATCATCATGAAAATTAGGGGTAACTAATGAGAAATGAAAAATAATACAATGAGAATGTGTATCTCACCTACATTTATAAGGGTCTGATTAGCATTAAATGCAATTAAATCATTGAATTATCTTTCAACATGAAATTTAATGAAGTAGCATCACTAATAAGGATACAAGCAACTCTGTGTCCTGCCAGTTTTGTCTTCTGCTTTGTCCTGAAAAAGAGGTGTAGAGATAAAGCTGCTTGTCTTAATCTAATTCCTACTGGACTTAACAGTATCTACACAGAGGGAAAAATGTGAGAAATATTAGATTGTAATTTTTAATGAAAGCTATCTGTTCAGTACAGGTATTATCTGTTTCTGAACCAAGGAACCTGATAATAATCTTCAGCCCACCACATACTTTTCTCAGTACAGTCAGTTTTTTGGCGAACTCTGCATGGGGGCTTGGAGTTAAAGACTATATGTTCTGCTCACCAACTGTGTGATTTGGGGTCATTAATTTAATCTTCCATGGTTTAGAAATGGCACCCACGGAATGACTTTTATTCTTTCTAACTACCAGAATTAAGAAATTTTTATGATACCCTCTTTGTTAAAGGGTGTAAAACAGAGCAGGGCACTGAGTCAACTTTCAGATGATTTCTTACATTTCCCAGATCTTCCTCAAATATAGTCTTCTGTCTCTTACTCCTTTTCAGTACAAAACTCAACCTGCATTTAATCGCCCCAGTAGTTGTCAGTGTCAGCCCCTGCAGATTTGGCTGAAGAACAATTTGGTTTAGAGCAAGTTGGCCAAAGGCAAGTAAGTTAAAGACAGATTGAGCAGTGCTATTTTTTGGCCAAATCAAATAAAAACAAACCAGTTTGTTTTGTTTTGTTTTGTTTTGTTTTTTTACAAAAACAGGCCAGGCACAGTGGCTCACGCCTGTAATCCCAGAACTTTGGGATGCCGAGGAGGGCAGATCACCTGAGGTCAGGAGTTCAAGACCAGCCTGGCCAACATGGTGAAAGCCCGTCTCTACTAAAAATACAAAAATTAGCCGGGTGCAGTGACACACACCTGTAATCCCAGCTACTCGGGAGGCTGAGGCAGGAGAATCGCTTGAACCTGGGAGGCGGAGGTGGTGGTGAGCCAAGATCACACCATTGCGCTCCAGCCTGGGCAAGAGAGTGAGACTCCATCTCAAACAAAACAAAAGCCTTTTAAATGTGAATGTTATTTAGAAACTATCTTTCAAGCTTTGGTAATGTTGGTGTTCTCTGGGGGTTATTTTACAACAATTTATAGATGTGTATGTATTCACTTAAAAACATACATATCTTCCTTCCTGCCATACAAAGGACATTTGTGAGGAACTAGTGTAGATGACCTGCTTCTTGGTCAGTGTTTTTTAAGTGGCAGAGCAGTTTCCTCCCTGCAGTCTACCGAGTATCAGCCCTTAGCACAGGGATTTGTAAAAACAAAGATTTAACGAATAAGAAAAGAGAAAAAGGAGATGATGATGCAAAGAAAAAAATATATCTCTTTAAATAATTTTACCTGATCATTATGATATTTTTATCCTACTCTTTCTGTTGTATGATGTTTAAAATAGAAAATGGTTAAAACAAAAAAATTCTTAATGGCTGGCTAATGACAAAAAAATGGATTACAAAGCTATAGGATGGCATGATCCTAGTTTGCTGGAAGAATACACACACACATATACATATATGAATACATAGAATACACACACATATGTATGTGTATGCATATGTGTGTATATATGTGTGTGTATTCTTATGTATTTTTATATGTATACATATGTGTATTCTTTCAGTAAACTAGGATCATAATATCCTATATGTATATGTGTGTATGTACATATATGTATATACATATGTACATCAAAAAAACATAAAGGAACAAACACCAATGTGTTAATGATGCCTGTAAATGGATAAAATTATAAAGTTTTTGTATTCCTTGGTCCATTTGCATTTAATGGTATTTTTCTAAAAAGCAAGAAGCACAAAGCATTTTATATATTAAACACATTATAAAAGACTATTGGCCATTTACATTTTTACAATTTTTCATCTTTACACATAATACAGAACATTAATAATTAGATGTAAATGATTTGGGAATATTTTAAAAGAAAAACAGAGGGAAAAACAAATACATTCTAATAACTTTGCAAAGAGATATGCGTGTATTACAATTCCATCAGTGGTTCATGAAAAATAACCATATTTTTAAAAAATAGCAGTTGGGGTCAGGCACGGTGGCTCACACCTGTAATCCCAGCACTTTGGGAGGCTGAGGTGGGCAGATCACTTGAGGTCAGGAGTTCGAGACCAGACTGGCCAACATGATGAAACCCCCATCTCCACTAAAAATACAAAAATTAGCCATGCGTGGTGGCGCGTGCCTGTAATCCTAGCTATTTGAGAGGCTGAGGCAGGAATGTTGGGGTGATCAGACCCAACACCAGGTAGTGGGGGCGACGAAGTCCAGCAGAGTCAAAGGAATGAGAAAAAGACATTTGAGAGAGAAAGTGGGACTAGGGGGCCATCACGAGTGTGGAAGCTGCAAAGGCCCCGAGCTCTGGGAGCCCATGCTATTTATTGGTGCCCAAACAAACAAAAAAGGTGATGTGGATGTGGGGGTTGAAAGGAAACAGTGTATCAAGTGAATGAGAAACATATGTCTGCTTGAGATAAGGGGAGTGCTAGAAGCAAGGAGCCAGCAAGTCTCACAGACATGCAAGCCCTGCCTCAGCTTCTCTGCCAACACTCAGCTTTTCTCCCAACACTCAGCTTTTCTCCCAACAGAGGAGAATTGCTTCAACTCAGAAGGCGGAGGTTGCAGTGAGCTGAGGTTGTGCCATTGCACTCTAGCCTGGGCAACAGAAACAAACTCCATGTTAAAAAAAAAAAAAAAAAAGCAAGTGGGCAATTCATAATATTAACATTTTACCAAATTATCTCAAAATGGAATTGTAATGTTAATCATCCTGTATAGTAAATTGTTTTGGGGCCAACTCTTCAGATAAAAATCACTGCAATCTCTGACCATGGATGCTTCCACAATATTTCATCTCAGTCCTGATCAGATCTGTGTCATTTACCTGTTGTAATTTTTTTACTTAGTTCCCAGTATATTTTGTGAACCACAATTCACATCAAAACATCGCAAGGGTTAAAAATATGTATAATTTTATGTAGACAAAAGTAATCTAGCATACACATTTTAGAAATATTATTCTTAAGAATATAAATACATGGTGGCTTGGTTTTTTTCAATGATTAAAAATTATGTATGTCTAATAATTTAGTCCAGGTGTGAACTTCAAAAGATAAATTTTATTATGTGTACTCAGTTTTTCTCTTTGCTCTATTGGCATAAACGTTTTTGGTCATGCTCAATTACTTTCTGCTGCCTAAGCTAAGAAAATTTTATCAATGATTATTTTTACTTTTTTTATTTTTATACATTTAGGGGTTACAAGTGGATTTGTTATATGGATGTATTGTGTAGTGGTAAATTCCCAATTTTACTGTAACCATCGCCCTAATAGTGTACCCATTAGGTAATTTCTCATCCTTCACCCTCTCCCACCCTCCCACCTTTCTGAGTCTCCAGTGACTGTTATTCCACTCTCTATGTCCAGGTGTACACATTATTTAGCTCCCACGTATAAGTAAGAACATGCAGTATTTGAGTCTGGCTAACAAATCCTGAAATTTTAGGTAGTATAGCTGCATGCAGCAAGACTATTTCACTGAAATTTTACTGGTGTTGGAGCCATTTCTTTTTAGCAAACTTGTAAGTTGGTACTCATGACACAAAATACATCATGTTATAAAATATAAAAATAACTATATATGTGTGCATGTGTATACATATGTGATATATACATATGTGTGTTTTTAAACACACACACATACACATACAGAGAGAGAGAGAGCACGAGGGAGAGCTCCAAAATACCATCAATTTAAATGAAGGACACTGAGGACAGACACTGTTTTTTTGAGGGTTGTTTATATTAACATGTTACAATTATATAAATTCGAGGAGACAGATCTTATTGTCCCATGTACAAATAGTACCATTCTAGTCCATAAATACAGTCTTCTTTACAATTAGTGTCATTATAACAATACTAAAGGCATTTTGTTTGGTAATAATTACTTTCATCATAGCCCTATATATCCAGTCTATTTTGAAAATTATAAATTTATTTTCCAAGGTAAAACATTTATAAATTGAATTATATTTGCCTCGACATACTCTTTTACTATGAAAGCAATAAGAAAGGTTTTTTTAAAAATTTTTGTAATAGAGCTTTTTGTTTCTGTTTGTAAATTTATTAGGTAGGCAGTAAAATTGTCAGAATTTACAGAGGATTCGACATTCAGATTTAATTTTCAATTGCCCTGCTATTACTTTCCTTTGACTTTCCATTAAATTTAGAAATTAAAAGATGAATAGACTTCTTATACACTATTCATATTTGAAATCATGTTACAGTAAGTTCATTTTACAGTAAGTTCAAGTTTGCTTCGTGAACCCTGTGTTCTTAAAATATTAAATTGTTTTATCTCTAGGTCAAATGACTTGTACTGTTAGCATATTAAAATACAAGTCTTCCTGCTCTGTTGCAAATTTTGGGCCCATGGGTTGAATCTGTGGCCATGTAATTTTAAAATAGATGTTTATTATGAACTGTGAAGTCTTCATTATATGTAATATGCATAACACCTATTTTATTTGAATTTCTAAATATTCCAGTGGTTTCTCAGTAAAATTTTCAGAAATTACAAGTTAATATTGAACACTGCATTGGAGTACAAAATATTTGTTTTACATGAAGAAGATTTAAAATGAATGAAAAAGTACAAATACAAAATGCAGAAATTACAAACAGGATTTATCAGCTTATCATGAAGCAAATTTTAAGTATAGAATATAAAGTTACGGCTAGCCGCGATGGCTCAAGCCTGTGATACCAGCACTTTGGGAGGCCAAGGCAGGCGGAACACATGAGGCCAGGAGTTAAAGACCAGCCTGGCCAACATGGCAAAACCACATGAGGCCAGGAGTTAAAGACCAGCCTGGCCAACATGGCAAAACCTTGTCTCTACTAAAAATACAAAAATTAGCCAGGCGTGGTGGTGCGCGCCTGTAGTCCCTGGTACTCGAGAGGCTGAGGCACATAGACATATTAACAAAAGAAAACACATGTATAATTTGATCTTTCTATTTGAGAGAAAAAAATTAGTTTGAATGTTGGTTTTGAATCACAAAATGCTATTAATTTTTACCAAAAATGCCTATACTTAAATTATTTATGAATGGTATACCTTTTACAATAATTCTGTAGGTATACATCGTAAATCCTTCAGCATTCAAATCAAATTAAATAACATGCTTGTTATTTCAAACTTCCAAACTTCTATATTATTCCTTAGTTACATTAGTCTTCATTAATCCAAACCAAATTCAGCTACTGCTTCTTGGCTCCCACCCTCCTTATAAGCATCTTATTATATCTGTATCATTATAAATATTTTCTATTTAAGTGCTTTTGCTTTGCTATCAATAAATTATATAGCATTCAGTAAAGAGACATCAATAACTATACTTTCCTCAGTGGCAGATTTATTCTTTAGCAAATATTTTCTAATTACATTCTACTGGCCATGAGACTTATGAGATCCAAAGACGATTCAGAAAATGGTCCTGCTTCCAAAGAATTTATAGCCAGTGACACGATGCAGAAAGTGAAAGGTACGTTTAAGTGTACAAAAAGTGATTTAAAAAAAAAAAGAACAAATAGAAGAGATCAGGAAGATAGCTACAAAGTATTCAAAGATCTCAGTAGTAAATGCAATAGTAAAACAACAGCTAACCTTGATTTAGGTTTACTTTGTACCAGGCACTGCATTTTACACCCGAGTGAATATTCACAGCCAACTTATTCAGCATGTCCTATTTTC
Source organism: Homo sapiens (assembly GCF_000001405.40). Classification (NCBI taxonomy): domain Eukaryota; kingdom Metazoa; phylum Chordata; class Mammalia; order Primates; family Hominidae; genus Homo; species Homo sapiens. Next base: position 53,878,930 of record NC_000010.11, on the reverse strand, counting down.
CTCATTTTACAAATGAGGAGCAAAGCCTTAGAGAATCACTTGCCCAAGCTCATGTATCTAATAAGTGGTAGAACTAAACTCAAATCTTTCAATTCTAATTATTGATGTCTCAACCACTATGATAGTCTTCTATAGACATTTAAGCCAAATATTATTTGACCACTGACTGCACGTGGTACCACAGTGAAAAATATGAACTGAAACAAATTTGACGTATAATGGACACACAAAATTAAAACGTGTCATAATAAATGCTAATATATACACACACATTTATGTAACATAACAATGAAAATATGTAAGTAGAAGCAGCACTCCCTAGTAGAGATAAGAACACCTTCAGAAAAGGGGTCATTTAAGCTGAGGTTTGATTGCTTTATTCAGTGTTTTATTATATATATATATATACACACACACACGTATATATATAATATATTATATATTTATATATATACTATACTATGGCATACACACACATTTTATATATATGGAGATATATATATATATTCAACGTGTGTGTACGCCATAGTATAGTATATATATAGACTATATATAGAATATATTATATGAGTATATATAGTCTATTATATATAGACTATATAGACTATATATATAGAATATATATAGTCTATATATATATTCAAAGTGTGTGTGTGTATGCCATAGTTTACTGTATGTATATGTAGAATATATATATATATATATATATATATATTCAAAGTGTGTGTGTGTGTGTGTGTGTGTGTGTGCCATAGTATAGCCAAGAAGTGAACATCATTTGGCCTAGCAGACAAAAGACATTTCATTTAAGGTAGAAGAAACAATGTATACAAAGAAATAGAAACCTGAAAGAACACATTCTTCAGAAAAACAAAATAATATGGTTCTGGGAAGTAGAATAAATGTAAAGCAAAAAGTTGGAATCATGAACTTTAATCAGATTGAGAATATTTAAAGGACTTGTTTTAACATTCATCTCTGGCAAGTGGGAGCTATCAGTAATTTTTAAGCTATCGCTAGAGTTAAAAGTGAGATCTGATGAGAGCCTGAAATTGGCCAGTGTAAGCTTGGCCTAAAGTATTATACAGAACTGAGAAATATTGTATAGGTAGAAATCAGAATGCTTGCTGATGGACTGGAAGTAGGGAGGAGCCAGGAGGTGAGATTAAACCGAGGGGGAGGATGCTGAAATTTTTTAGAACAGTTCAGTTCATAGATGGTGTTGCCCTTCCTATGCAAAAAGAAAAAACAGAAGGAGAACCACATATGATAGTCAGAAGAGGGACAGCAAGGTGGGAGCCAAGAAGCAGCAGCTGAATTTGGTTTGGACTGATTGAACCTAATGTAACTAAGGAAAAATCAGGAAGTTCAAAAATAACAAGTATGTTATTTAATTTGCTTTGAATGCTGAAGGATTTAGGATGTATAACTACAGAATTATTGTAAAAGATAAGCTGTTTAAGAGTGGATATTTTCGGTAAAAATTAATAGCATTTTGTGATTCAAAACCAAACCAACATTTAAACTAGTGTTTCCTCTCAAGTAAAAAGCATAAATTACATGTGTGTTTTCTTTTGTTAACTTGTCTATATAATAGAGCACAATTTTTTTCTTTTTCACATGGTTGAAAAGTTAGAACAATTAGCTCAGAGTTTATTTTAAAGCATCTCTGAGGGAGGTATAATCATTTTATTATTAGCAATAATGACGGAAAAAGCAAAACCATTTATAGGGTAATATTTATTTTACAAAACATTTTTAAAAGAAAGGAAAAAATAAAAAAGGAAACTTCAATTATAACATACATGCAAGTCCTGCTTGTTTTGTACTCTCAAGCCTTCTATGGTTCAGAATTTACCATATAATTTTTTAAAATAATAAAAGGAACATTTGGCTTTTCTTTAGTTTCTTTCTTTAATTTTCTAAATAGATGTTATCCTGTAATTTTTTGCACCATGATTTAAATTAAGAGTAAATTTTGATAAATTCTAACCGAAACCCAGCCCTGTAAAGGTCTTTGTAATTCAAACTATGATGGCATGTCTCTATTATTGTTGCACTGGCGTGTTTCCATTATTACATTGCTGTTTCTACAATGAGTTGTATTTTACTCTTTAGAATCTCTCAGAATTATATTAGACTTTTACTTAACTCTACAAAAAGTAAATAGGTATGTTGAACTTAGAAATTATTAATATTGCATTGTAGTCACTGTTTGACATTCTTATGCAAAATCAAACACTTGAGCTTGCATATTTAAAATGTTTCTTTTCTCTTTCTCTCCTTGTTTCTTCTTTTTTTTTTTTGCAAAAGTTTTGAATAGCCCTAAAAGTAGATCAATCTACCTGACATTTTTCTTATTCATATTTTATCATGTTCTGGGTATATTGTCTTTAAGGACTTTAAAATAAAGATTTCTTTCTGGTTTCTAAAAATACAAGAGTTGGCCGGGCGCGGTGGCTCATGCCTGTAATCCCAGCACTTTGGGAGGCCGAGCCGGGTGGATCACGAGGTCAGGAGATCAAGACCATCGTGGCCAACATGGCGAAACTTCGTCTCTCCTAAAATACAAAAAATTAGCCGGATCTGGTGGTGGGTGCCCGTAGTCCCAGCTACTCAGGTGGCTGAGGCAGGGGAATCGCTTGAACCCGTGAGGCGGAGGTTGCAGTGAGCTGAGATCATGCCACTGCACTCCATCCTGGTGACAGAGCAAGACTGTGTCAAAAAAAAAACAAAAAAACAAAAAAAAAAACAAGACTCAAGTTAAAGTGGTTCTAACCTGCCAAAGCTCTGTTATTTTTGCTTTTTGCAAACTTGACATAGTGACCTTGGTAGGTGGAAATGTGAGATTTGAGTATTTTTATCCAGACAGTCTAAAACACTTTCACTCTATTTCAGGGTAAGTGAGCCTTCAATACCGTTAAATGTTAAAATGGGTCTAATTGAGAAGCTAAAGTTAAACTTGGCATTACTGAACTTTAATGGGTTTGAAAGTTCTTAGGACATCACTAATTATTTCACTAATATTTCTGCATCCATGGTATTCATTTAGGCAACAGAGGGGAACAGTTATTTAGGCTATTAGAAAATTAATGGTCTCCCCTACTCCCCTGTATGATAGAGGCAATTATTTGGTGATTTTCTTTTAATGTTGTACATCTGTATCCATTAAAATTTCCAGATGAGGTCTTAGAAATGGGTAAGTGGTTTCCTGTATCTAAGCTTTCACTTAAAATATAATTATAGCAAGTATAATTATAATATTCATTTCTGACTTTTATTCTTTTAAAAGAACTCTAGACTAACTTTTTTTTTTATTTTGTTCACTAAGGGAAACTCATAAAAGTCAGTGAATCAAATCTTCCAGAGTCACCTCTCCCAGATATTAATGACTTTGTTGTGAACTGAGCATAAATGTTTGATTATAGAGAAATTGGTGGAAAAAGTAATATCATATTAATTCTTTAGTAAATTGTATTCATTTAGCGTTTCCACAGTGAGTCAGTTTTAATTTTTATGCATTAATTTAACCCAACTTGTTAGACATCTCCTTATTACTATTAATAAATTATAGAATATATTTATGAATTATTTATGCCATTACTAAAATATCTCTATGAATTTTCCCAAAATATTAAGAAAACAATACTTATTATATTTACAGTACGTGGTTCTGTAGTTTCTATATGACATGTGGGTTCTAGGTGTGAGTTACTTGTTATTTATCCTGTTTGCAGTTTATTGGGCTTCTTAATATCTGTGGATAACAATCTTTTATCAGTTCTGGAAAATTCTGTTCTATTCTCGCTTTCTCTCTTTCTGAAACTCTGATTAGATATTTGCCAAAATTTTCATTCTAAACTCCATATCTCAAACTTTTTTTTTTTGAGGTTGTTCATCTTCGTAGCTCTGTGAAACATTCTGTGTCATTTCCTTTGCCCTATCATTTCATTTACTAATTCCCTGGTCAGCTGCGCTTAACCTGCTAACAATCCCATCTTGGGGTATTTAATTCTAATTTTTTTTTATTTCTAAAAGATACTTTTTCATTTCTTTTCAACGAGTCTCATTTTTTATTCCGCATTTTAAAGCTCTTTATTATTGAAATGTATTAACCATATTTGCTTTATATTCAGTGTCTACTAATTCAAATATTTAAAGTCTATGTTGTTATGAATTTGATTTTTTTATCTCAACGGACTTTTTTATGATTGTTTCTTGTTTGTTTTGATAATTATTATAACTTTTCATCTTTCTTGGAACTTTATTTGTTAGAATTATTTTAGGCATGGCTTGCAGGAGGGGTTTTTGAAAAAGCACCTGCTTCTGTCAGGCAGGAGACCAGGCCATTTTCAGTCATAGATGATTTCTCTTAAATTCTCAGGTTGTGGTTTTTCTGTCCATTCAGGTGGAGATCAGGCCTATTAGACTTTACCAATGGAATATTATGATTTCTCCTTGAGTTGGGCAAACTGGTGGCCGGCAAATAATGGCTGCAAACTAAAATGAGGGGCTGTATTTCGTCCTAGATTCTCAAAGAAGTTTTCTCTTCACTCCCCTCAATAGCAAAGTTTAAGTTTACAGTTTTCGTTGCAGTTTGGGGTGATAGTAGCAGTGGTAGCAGGGGGAAAAGTAAATTTCTCCTTTACTCTTACGGTGAGAATTTAACTTTCTGGGGAGGGAAATCTTAATAGACTCACTTTCATGAGTAGGCTTGGGGCCTTGCCTCCTATTGTCTGAGCTACTGAAAACCAGACAAGTTAAATTTTAATTTTACCCAGGTCAGTAAAAAAAACAAAAAAATTCTAAATGAAAGCTCCCATCAGTACTATGGTTTTTATATTCTTACCTTTACTTTTGCATTCAGACTTCTATAGCAGAATACCATAGACTTGGAAGCTTATATACAAGACAAATTTATTTTTCCTCATAGTTCTGGAGGCAGGGAAGCCCAAGATCAAGGTGCTAATAGATTAAGTGCCTAGCGAGGCCGTCCTGGTTCATGGATGGCTGCGTTTCTAGTGTGTCCTCTCATGGCAAAACGGAACAAAGGAAGTCTCTGGGGCCTCTTTTCAAAAAGGAACCAATCCGTTTCATGGGGGCTCTGCCATCATGAACTTAACTGCTTTGCAAAGGCCCATCCTTCAAATGACATCACATTGAGTATTATGTTTCAACATATAAATTTGGGGAGAAATAATCAGTCCATAGCACTTTGTTTTTGACTGGCATATTTATTGTCTTTCCATCTTCTTGATGGATCTAGGAAGATTTCTTAGAATATTTTATCGAACATTTGTTGTTTTATTTTTAAACTGCAGTTTTATCCCTGGTATTTAGTCTCACATGTGGAATGTAGTGGCTTTAAAGTGAGACTTATCCCACTGTGCTAACAACCATATGTGTGATTATGAACAAGTTACTAATCTCTCTGTGCCTCCATTTCTTGGCCTATAAAATAATAATGGAATCTACTCAATGGAAAGGATGTCATGAGATAATGTAATAATATATGTATTTACATAGCATCTGGCAAATTGTAAGTGTTCAATAAATGTTAGCAAACAGCGGAAGCAGCAACAGCATTATACAAACAACATAAATGGACTTGGTAATTTAAAGAACACCAGACTGATTGTTGATCTGAGATGGAGTCCAGCCTCAGTCACTGATGTTAGCAAATTAAATGGCATGGCAGGGGCAGAGATCTGGCTGCGGTTAAGGCATGATTGTAAAGTAAGGAATTACAGATGGTGATTCTATAAAAATTTTCTGAGGAACTTAACTGTGAAAAATAGGTATGGAAGTTTGGGGGCTAGTGTCACGAGTGTGGACTCAGTAAAAGAAAAGTTTCATTTCATTTTAATGAGAGAGACATAACGTGTTTTATAGTCTGTAGAGGAGAGGTGAAAAGGACAGAGATCAATAGAGCTGATGAAGCATTAAATGCAGAAGGGATGGGAGTGATTCAGATTAAGGCATAAGTACCTTCAGTGAGAGATACGTGTCAGCTGCTCCTCTGAGATTTGAAGAAAGTAGTCAAAGTAAGTACAGATATAGGTACTTTTTTAGTTATGTGATGAAAAGCTGAGAGATCTCACATTTGATATCCTCAAATTTTATGGGAATTAGAGCTTCCTTATCTCTGGAGAAGACTGAAAGAATCTGTGAACTAAAGAAAAAGGCAAACTTCTGGAGTGAGAAAGAGAACTTATTACATATAGCAAGGATTTCCTAAATAGACAAAGGCACAGTGAAACTCAGAGACCATGGACTTACAGTAACACTAGTCTGACTGATTATTTAATTTCTCTGCGCCCTCTTCAGTCACCAGGAGTAAACTGATGGTTAGTTTGGTCCAAGAGGAGAAAGATCCAGGTGTTGTGGAAGGAGAGAGAAATGAGAACAATGTGATCAACTCTGACTTCTATGATAAAGCAGAAAGGGACATAAACCCTGAAGTAATGGGAGCAAAAGGCAGTTTGCAGAACTGAAAATTCACTGATATCAAAGAAGAGGTCTTAACTAAGTATGATGATTAAAGTTGTGGTCAGAATTTAGACATGAAAGTTTAATATATAAATTAAATATGGAGTGTTTCTTTAAGCGGAATATCTCCCTAAGGCAAAAGACTAAAGTGTGACTGTAGAATTAAATCGATGCAGTGAGGTCGTTCAAAGACTGATGAATGTTATTCATGCCTAATACTTTAAAAATAAGTTGCTGGATGTGTCATCTCAATGAATACTGAAATTTGTAAAGAGGGAGGAAGTTGAAGTAGAAGGGGTAGACTGAGAGCAAGATACCAACATCCTCATTATGTTTGGCAACAAGGAGGGGTAGAGTGTGTACTGTACAAAAGTTCATGGATTTCAACTGAGGAAGAGGTTTTGCAAAATTGCTTCAAAAATGAGGGGGAAGCCATGCCTGGCTAATTTTATATTTTTAGTAGAGACGGGGTTTCTCCATATTGGTCAGGCTGGTCTCGAACTTGTGACCTCAGGTGATCCGCCCGCCTCAGCCTCCCAAAGTGCCTGTAATCCCAGCTGCTGGGGAGGCTAAGGCAGGAGAATTGCTTGAACCAGGGAGGTGGAGGTTGCGGTGAGCCAAGATCGAGCCATTGCACTCCAGCCTGGGCAACAAGAGTGAAACTCCATCTCAAAAACAAAACAAAACAAAACAAAACAAAACAAAACAAAACAAAACAAGAACTGGAAGCAATAAAGGAGAGCTGGAAAAGAAAATTAAGAAAAGTAGAGTTATAAGGGAGTTACAATTGTGTGATAATATGTCTGAAGTAATAAGGGTCTAAATTGATTGCATAAATTTACATATTCATGGATAAACATAATATGAAAAAATGTTAAACCTTTTGAATCACCATTATGACAACTTAGGTAACTATAATAGTTACACTGGACTTGGTCATATTTATATTTTTGTGTATATACACACACACACACACACACACACACACACGTATGAATATATATAAAATTTTAAAATACTATTTTTGGGCATCCTTATTTTTATCTTATGAATAAAGAAATCTGAAATTTTGAGTTATTAGTTTTGTTGTTTTGTTTTTTTGAGACGACGTCTCGCTCTGTCACCCAGGCTGGAGTGCTGTGGCGCGATCTTGGCTCACTGCAAGCTCCGCCTCCCGGGTTCATACCATTCTCCTGCCTTAGCCTCCCGAGTAGCTGGGACTACAGGTGCCTGCCACGACGCCCAGCTAATTTTTTTTTTTTTTTAATTTTTAGTAGAGACGGGGTTTCACTGCGTTAGCCAGGATGGTCTCCATCTCCTGACCTTGTGACCCGCCCGCCTCAGCCTCCTAAAGTGCTGAGATTACAGGTGTGAGCCACCGCGCCCGGCCTTGAGTTATTAATTTTTCAAAGTCACACCTGACATTGGAGTCCACCTCACTCCAAAACATAATGCAAAAAACAAGCAAAAAAGTAAGTTTAAAATTATTTAACAACAAATAGAGACAATATACTCTGTGCTGAAACTCTCACTTATTTTTCACATATTGACCCAGATTTAAAACTGCGCTCTGAATTTTATTATTGGTATCTCTGGTGTGACTCAGTGTGTATTTAAAGATATCGTATCCTGTTATTGATTTTATAGAAAGAACATTTGGTTGTTATCTATGTATGATGGTATTGCATATGCTCCACATCAATCAGAGTCACATCTTAGAGGAGAGGTTTCGGATTTTAAAATATGTATTTGTTATAAATTGGGGAGACTAAAAATTAAAAATCCATGCAATTGCTCTTAAGTATGGCACCCATTGGAATTTTCATCAGTCACTGTTTAAATTACTAGTATTCAACTGAACATACTTGAGGAAGAGGGGAGATTTGAAAAATATGCTAATGATCCTGGCAATCATCTTTGATGAATATCTCCTGAAATAAGATCTCTAAGATCCCAAAGACTATCATATTCATTCAAAGAAATAAAAATTAGAGTCCTTACTGTATAACATACATATGACAATAGGGTTTTATTTTTTTTAATTCCAGTAGACAAGATTTTTAAAAAAACTTTTATCTCATTCTTGACTATTTTCTGCAAATATTAAGGCATTTATATGAAAAATCATAAAAGAAAATAGTTATTTCTGAGTTAAATTGTCTAGTTCCACACCCAAACTTTTGCATTAAGTGATAATTTGTTTCAGGAAAGGCACATTTAACAGAACACTTTAATATTTTAAGATGGAATATGACTATTTTGTAGTTATCATAATTTAATATATTAGGAATATTGCAAAGTGAAATTACCTGCTTACTGAAATTGGAAGTTAATCAGTCAGAACTGTGTAAAGTAGCTTAATATACCAAGCAATCACTGTGGTGATTTTATGGTAACCACCTTTTCTTTTCCAAATGTGATAGTGTTGTTATACAGTATTTATTTTAAATATAAGGGCTTAGAATCTTACAGTGCAAAATTGAATGAAAGAAGTCAGACAGAAAATAGAACATATTTTATGATTCAGTCAATGTAAAGTTTTAAAAATAGGCATAACTAATCAACAATGTTAGATTAGGAAAGTGGTTTTCCTTAAGAAGGTCTCAGATTGTGACTCCAAGTGCATGAAGTGCATTCTGGAATATGGGTAATTTTTTTTTTTCAAGAGATAAGAGTTTCACTATATTGTGCAGGCTGGTTTCAAGCTCCTGGGCTCAGGTGATCCTCCAGCCTTAGCCTCCCAAAGTGTTGGTATTACAGGCATGAGTCACCATGCCTGGCTTGTTTTGTTTCTTGATGTAAATGCTGGTCATGTAGATGTGTGTATTTTGCAAAATTTTAATGAGCTTTACATTTATAATTTGTACACTTTTTGCATGTTTGTTATTCCTTTATAAAGTTTACATTAATAATAAAAAGTTTGTTTCATAGAAATATCCATGTTAATAAGAAGATAGAGAATAATATGTAACCAAATCTGACTGATCTGACATTAGGCCCAAATTTGCTCATTCTATGTGGAAGAAATGTCTTGGATACCTTGACTCAGACTTTGACTTATTTTAGCTGGGAATATGCCTTTTTCTATCTTATGCTATCCTTTGTTGAGTGATTATAAACCTGTGGTTCAAAGTTTAAGTACAAAAAATTTTGATACTGTTTTTCTTTCTTTGTTCATTTTCTTTTTCCTTTAAGTGAGAATGTGACCTAACATTGATAACTAATTACTATTACTCTAATACCAAAACTGAGCTCTGCCATGCTGTAAGCCATATAAACTATCTAAAGTGATTAGCCGGTAGTTTGAGCTTGTCCTCTTCTAAAGATAATTTTAGGTTTGGCACAGTGGCTCATGTCTGTAATCCCAGCACTTTGGTAGGCCAAGATGGGAGGATTGCTTCAGTCAAGGAGTTCGAGACCAGCCCAGGCAACATAGCGAGACCCTGTGTCTACAAAGAATTAGCCAGGCGTAGTGGAGTGCCTATAGTCCCAGCTACTCAGAGGCTGACATGTGAGGCTAGCTTGAACCTGGGAGACTAAGGTTCAGTGAGCCGAGTTTATGCCATGGCACTCCAGCCTGGGTGACAGAGAAAAAAATAAAGAAAAGAGAATATTAACTCCCTAGAAAATTCATGAAACAGCTGATCCTGAAGTGAAATTATCTGTGTTGAGTAGTTTAAATTACCTTTTCTAACAAGTAGATATGATTATCTGGAAACGTTTTAAATGGTTCACAATATATATAGAATTTGAAGCTAAATCAAGTTGATGCTGTATTTAATACACATTTGCTATGATTTACTATTTTAATCATTTGTGTCTCAACTTTACTACTTATTATGTAGTCTTTCATTATGTAACTTAAATTAAAATTAGATTGAATTGAAATTTCAGTTTCTTTGTCACATCAACCACTTTTCATTTGTCATATTTGGCTAGTACCTACTGCATAAGACAGAGCTGGTTAAGAACATTTCTATCATTTCAGAAAATTTTATTGAATATCACTAATTTATATAAGTAAAACAATATATTCCTCAGTTTTTTATATTGTTATTAGATAAGACTATTTTTGTATGATGTTATTTTGTGTGATTGTATTTTGTATTTTGTATGATTCTTAGCAATTCTTAGTAATGGCAGATCATAAATGCATACTCATACTTAATAATAATAGCATAGGTAAAAATAAGAATAATCGGATAATAAAAATAATAATCATTGTTATAACAAATGAAAATGTATAACTTACATATCTAGTATCATGAATAAGGTATATATAGTCTTTTATCAAGCCTCTAAAACTCTCCTATCTACCATTTATTTTCCAAGTATTTCACTATGAAATGGTTCTGAAATAGACATTCTAAAAAATTACCCCTAATTAGACACCATAAAGCCAGCCCAATATATGATTCTCATAGCTGTATTTAAAAACAAATGAAAAAAATCTAAACAATGTGTTAGTCCTTTTTAATTCTAAATGGTAGGAAACTTTAATATGTGGATCATAAGTACCTATCACCAGGAACAAATATGTTTAATCGGGATACAGGATGATTAAAAAGGAAGTCGGATAGTATTCTAACTCTAATTAGAGAATTATGTTATGGCATTAATTAATTAGAATATTTTTATGCATCTCTAAATTTGTTATAACTCAACTTTATTTTATTTCATTCGAGATATTTTACTACGTTCTTTTATATTTATCCTCCTTAGGCTATATACTACATCAAAAATACCATCACACTGTATGCCTATTACAGCAAGACAAACATTAGGTAAACAACCAATCCCATCTTTCAACCAATTTGGATCAGCACACACAGTTGAACTCAACAAACCTGTAAACCAAAAGTCTTGATTCATTGACTCTGTTAGTGTCTATGTCTGTTTATTTTTTAAAATCTATTTTTAAAATTGACAAATAATAATAGTACTTACTTATTGGGTACATAGATGTTTCTATATGTATAATGCATAGCAATCAAATCAGGGTAATTAGCATATCTGTCATCTCAAACAGTTATCACTTCTTTGTGTTGGGAAAATTCGATATCCTTCTTCTAGCTATTTGGAACTATATACTATTGTTAACTGTAGTTATTCTACAGTGGTATAGAGCACTAGAACATATTCTCCCTATCTAGGACATTATGTTACATGAAATAAGCCAGGAACAGAAAGTTAAATGCCACATACATGTTCTTATTCATATGTGGAATCTAAAAAAAAGGTGATCTCATAAAAATAAAGTGTAGAATACAAGATACTGGAGGCTGGTAAGGGTAAAAGGAAAGGAGGGGTAGGGAGAAATTTGTTAAAGGGTACAGAATTATACCTATGTCCCTTTTATTCATACTTCAGCAGTTATTATCATTCTAATAGCAACCATTCGAAACTGTGGACACAAAGTCTATTAATCTACATAACTATATCCAGAAAAAACAGACATTTAGGAGGGCTTTATTGTGTTATTATTACATAAGAAACCTCATTCTTACAAACAAAAGTAAGCCATTTCATAAGGGTTATCTTTTCCTGCTTAATTATAATCTCTTTTTTTTTCCCCTCCGTCTAGGCTACTGATAAAGATACTGGCAATTATAGTGTCATGGCCTACAGACTCATAATACCACCAATTAAAGAGGGAAAAGAAGGATTTGTAGTGGAAACATATACAGGGCTTATCAAAACTGCTATGCTCTTCCATAATATGAGGAGATCCTACTTCAAGTTTCAAGTTATTGCAACTGACGACTATGGGAAGGGACTGAGCGGCAAAGCCGATGTACTCGTAAGTAGATAAAACTTCAGGAAAGGGAAGTAGCTACGATACTAGCCATAGGTCAGTGTTTTCAGTTTATAGAACTTCTAAGATTAATTTAAAACGGGTTTTCAAAAACATAATTATTATTTTCACTCAGATTGTTAGTCACTATAGTTTAGGAATATGTAAATATATTGTTCATATATATATATATATATATATTTACAAAAACACCGTAAGGTGTTTATTTTTCTTGACCTTTGAGAAAAACATTATAATATTTGAAAAAATATGATTGTAACAGCAAAGGTATAAGCACTGGATTTCTATTTTGTCTTCAAAGCTCATGTTTAATATAGGGTGTCCAGTGCTACATAAAAATTTTAAATGCTTCACAGAGTTATACTATAGAAATTAAACTATGAAATTATTTGTTTAAATTACTTTCAGCATTTTGTAATTGAGAAAACAAAGAAAATGTTTGGGGACAAATTTTGTTCCAATAGTATTTATTTCTTTGTTCTATCAAAATTCCCAATGATGACATTGTTTAGCCTTGACTAAGTTATATTTGGCTATAGTCAATAATATCACTGTTCTAATTTTCACTTAGGCAGTGCAGAAGTTTAGTGATAGATCATTTGAAAGGGAAGTTTGATATTAGCTTGTATTGAAAATATTTAACACCAGTGCATATATCCTGTGGACTCTTTACCAACTTGAAAGCATGGGTTATTTGGAGTTTTGTCTGATGAATCTAATACAAAGTATATTCATTAGAAATATTTGTCACATAAAAACAGATCAAGAATAAGTTGTCTTTTGTTCTTTACATCATAAATTTTCATTTTTTCGCAGTTCTTCTCATTTAGTTCCCTGGACAAGCGTAACCTTCATATACATGCAGACATCAATGCTTTATTTTTCTTCTTAGATAATGGTGAAGAACAATCACCATGATTGTGGCCAAAACAGTCCTCCAGGAGCATTCTCATTTTTAACAGTAAAGCTGCAATAGAGTAAATGAAGGCCACTCTAAGCCAAGAAGCTTTTGACATAGGAGATATTAAGTTTGACATAAATTTTTGATCAAATTAAGATCGGTAAACACTTTTTATTAGATTCCACATATGAATAAGAACATGTGGTGTTTAACTTTCTGTTCTTGGCTTACCTTGCCATTACCTTTATAACCTCCATTTCAAACCTCCCACTCTTTGTCCATAACATTTAATTAACATTGCAGCTAAACCCATCATTCTTTTGTTCCTACCAGGATGTCCAGTCCAATTAGCCGAATAATTTTAACTTCCATTGTGTTCTCTCATGAGAACCTCTCATGTTCTCTTTCTTGTTTACTGGATTTATAATGCATTACCAATTATAATAAGCAGTACATCATATAAAATTTAACTTTCTTGCTTTCTTTCTCTATGTCATATTCACTTAGCAAAACCTCCACTTTGGTTAATTCCAACTGTCTCCTTTCTCCAGACCTATATCCATGCTGATTATGTCTGCAAAAACATACAAAATTCTATAATTAGTATCGTTGTTGTTGTTGCTAAGAAACAAGGTCTGGTTCTATCACCCAGGTCAAAGTGCAGTGGTGTAATCAAAGCTTATTGCAACCTCAAAATCCTGGGCTCAAGCAATCCTCCCACCTCAGCCACCCTAGCACCTAGGACTGCAAGCACTCACCACCATGCCTAGCTATAGTATTGTTACATGACGGCTTTGAGTGTGAATTGTCCATGTCGTTGGTGTTTTGAACAAAGAATTGAACAAAACACACAAATTAACACAGGAACGAAACAAAGGAACAAAGCAAGGAAAGTGGGCATTTATTTATTTATTTATTTATTATTTTATTATTATTATTTTTGAGACGGACTCTCCCTCTGACTCCCAGGCTGGAGTGCAGTGGTGCGATCCTGGCTCACTGCAACACTGCAACCTCGGAAAGCAGGGATTTATTAAAGCAAGAAAGCTCTCCACAAGTTGGGAGTGGACTCAAGCAAGTGACTCAAGGGCCTGGTTACAAAGTTTTCTGGGTTTTAATACTCCTTTTGAGGTCCCTGTGGGCTACCCCTTATCTGGATGAAGGATTTGGCCTGAGGCTAAAGGCTGAGCTGAATTGACCCAAGGCCTGAGTGGATTGATGCCCTAAGCAAATGAAAGGATGGCCCCTGCTTGGCCCACAGCCACTCCAAGGCACTTTCCCTTTCCATCTGAGACATGGGGGAAGGGGGAAGGTTTTAGGGAGAGTAGCCTTTGATCCTTTGTTACTCAGGTGGGGTGTGGGGAGATGGTATTTTTGTTTGTTTGTTTGTTTAGCTTTAGGAAGTTGGCATTAATTGGTTTATGTTCCCTGCCCCCAGACCCAGGAGTTTCCTGTTTAATCCACCATTAGAAAACTATCATGAATTGGCCTTAGATTCCCTGACCCCAGACCTTGGTGTTTTCCCTTTGATTTAGCTTTAGGAAGTCAGCACAAATTGGCCTTAGGTTCCCTGCCTCCAGACCCTGTTCTCCTGCATCAGTATCAATTTAAATTAATGACTAAAACAAACCCTCCAAATGAGCTTTTGCTTTGGTCAGTAATCACTCTATTTTGCCTCGATGTCCTAGAAAATCTTCTCTGCTCCTGAATCTCCAATACCTTGTCCTCATTCTCACTATGGCCTGATTAACTGGCATGCTATTTCACAGAAAAATAATACTAAAGCATTTAGAAGGACACTTCTATGACTCCTGCCACTAAATTTACCTACCCTCCAGGATCTAGACCAACATTCTTTGCCTTCTTTCTGGCTCCTTTAGATGAATTCTGTTTTTATCTAAAGCCTGTACCTCTACTTATGCAGTAGATTCAATTCCCACTCGCCAGCTCTAGGAGATTGCCTCAGCAGCTCTCCCATTTCTTTTCTACATTATTAATATAAATTTCCTCCTTATATCAGATTATTCTCACAACAATGCTTTTTTTCTATCTTCCAAAAATTATAAAACATCCCTTGATCTATATCACCTTCTAGCTGCCATCCATTTTTCTATTCTTCTTTTTAGCAAAATTCTATGTTAGATTTGACTTATTTCTCACTATTGAACCCTCTCTTAAACCCTCTCTTAAACCCTCTAATCATAAGAGTGTTTTCTCTCCAAACACTCTTCCAAACTATTCTTGTCGATGCTACCAATGACTTCCATGTTAGGAAATGTACTGATGATGCCAGTCCTTATCTTACTTGAACCATCAGCAATGCTTGACTATTACCCTCACTATGCTTTCAGACCACCCACCATACTCCCTTGTCCTACTATCTCACTGTTTACTCCTTCTCAGTCTCCTTCACTGGTTCATTTTCTTCTCCTGACCTTGTAGTATTGAGGTTTCTCAGGGCTCAGACATTAAATCTCTTTTCTATCTGCACTCACTGACTTGTTAAGCTCACTTAGTCCCATAACTTTAAAATATCATCTACATAGTAAAAGCGCTCATACTTACATCTTTACACTAAAGATCATTCCTGAACACCAGATTTGCATATTTATCTGTACATGTAGCAATTCCACCCGAATATTTTTAAAAGGTGTTTATTTAGTGTTTCCTAATGGATTTCTCTTCTTCATCACATTTCTTCCACCTGTAGTCTTCCTCATTTTATTTGATGACCAAATCACTTTGAGTTCCTTAGGCAAAAAATTTCTTGACTCCTTTCTCTCCTAAACCTCACATTCATTCCCTTAGTAAATACTGTATATCTATCTAGGCAGCTAGCTAACCTATCAACGAAAGTGTCCTAAACACCTTTTCATTATTTTGTTGATGAAATGAGAAGTATGCATAGAGTACATCTGCTGTATGTGGAAGATGGTTGCCTCAAGGAAAAGCACTATGCAAGCTGAACAAGCTGCTTTTTTTATGGACTAACATTTTTATATGAAAGAGCAACTTAGAGACAAAATATGGTTATTCAAACTTAAATATTTGGTAGGCATTTACACAAAATGGATGAAGGGAGCCTGTCATTTCATTGAAAACAACCAACTAATGATAATACTGAAGCTTTGAAGCACAAATTAGAATATTAAAAAAATGTACCTGTCACTGTAAACTTGACTAGCTTCCGAATATTTAGACTTTCTTGATGAGTCAGTGGTTGTATTAAATAATGTGATTTATTTATTGATATTGTGTAATGAAGTGTGTTGATATTTACAATATCTGCAGTGTTCAGTAAACTTGTATTTTCCAAGTGGCCAATGCAGGATGTTAAAAAATTATGCACGTGTAAAAAATCAATTCAAAGTACAATGGCCGGGTGTGTTGGCTCAGCCTGTAATCCCAGCACTTTGGGAGGCTCAGGCAGGCAAATCACCTGAAGTCACCAGTTCAAGACCAGCCTGGCCAACATGGTGAAACCTCGTCTCTATTAAAAATTCAAAATTAGCCAGGTGTGGTGATGGGCACCTGTAATCCCAGATACTCGGGAGAATGAGGCAGGAGAATTGCTTGAACCCAGGAGGCAGAGGTTTCTGTGAGCTGAGATCACGCCATTTGCATTCTAGCCTGGGCAACAAGAGCAAAACTCCATCGCAAAAAAGAAAAAAAAAGTACAAGACAGACAAATAGATTGTAGTATAACTGAACATGGTTTCAGATTTCATGTGGAAACTAAATTTTGGTATAGTATTTAAAAAAGAAAATACATAATTATCTAAATGGACTATTAAAACACCTCTTTTATTTAATAAAATGTGAGTTTGCAGCAGAGACCAGTTAGTTAGTTAGGAAAGACAGTTCAAGCAGGAGATGATGAATATCTCTAAAGTTGGGTTGTCCAATATGCTAGCTATCAGCCAAATGTAGCTATTGAATATTTGCAACATGGCTAGGTCACACGGAGATGTACTATAAGTATAAAATACACACCAGATTTCAAAGACTTTGATAAAAATATGTAAAATGTTCTTTACATGTTAAAATGATATTTTACTAAACATATATTAAACATATTGGGTTAAATGTGTTATTGAATTAATCTTATTATTTTTATCTTTCTAATGTGGGTGCCAGAAAATTTAAAATTACATATGTGATTTGTATTCGTGGCTCACATTGTATTTCTATTGGACAGCACTATTTAAAATTTATGAGAGTATAGAGGAAGAAAGAAAAGAAACTTATGAGAATAAATGGAAAGGACATAGAAATAGTAACATGTAAATTTCCAACCATTGCTTTTTTAATTTTGTGCTTCACAAATGTTATTTCTCTTCTTTTTAACAATACCTAGTAATTTGAATCCATTACAAATATCAATCTCAATGATGATGGAAACATATTTATAAAGCTTTCATTAGTTATTAAGCTACAGAATTAAATAATTTCACAGAGAATTATTAAATATTTGGTGTAATAAACTGACATGCAAATTTCTGGAAATATTTGCATATTTGCAGAAGCTATACTGGAAAAGTAGCATAAATAAAATCTACTAATCTTAAACAGCTAAATATCCTTGTTATAGATGATAAAACAAACCAGAGTTAGGATGTAGAATTTCTGTCAAAGACCAAATGTAAACTGTAATATCTTATTTCTTCATTTGCATAGTCAAAATGTGTGTGTTCTACATAAACCAGACATTAGCACATTCAGGAGATTTAAAAATTTTAAAGTAATGATTTAGAGGTAAGTGTGGGACAACTACTCCCGGTAGTGCGACTTCTGTTAATTTATCAGAATTAAATGTTTTTTATTTTTATATCCTTAAAATAAAATATAAAAGTATATTTTCAAAATGTATTAACATCATAAAATCTTGTTAATAAAATGTAACCTTAAAATGGATATATTCTAGATACCTTAAATGTTAGCTCCTACTATTTCAGTCAGAATTTTGCACAAAATCTCACTTTTTTTTTTTTTTTTTTTTTTGAGACAGAGTCTCTCGCCCAGACTGGAGTGCAGTGGCGTGATATTGACTCTCTGCAACCTCTGCCTCCCAGGTTCAAGCAATTCTCGTGCCTCAACCTCCAGAGTAGCTGGAATTACAGGCATGCACCACCATGCCTGGCTATTTTTTGTATTTTTAGTAGAGACAGGGTTTCACCATGTTGGCCAGGCTGCTCTCAAACTCTTGGCCTCAATTGATCAGCCTGCCTCAGTCTCCCAAAATGCTGTGATTACAGGTGTGAGGCACTACGCCTGGCTTAAAGTATTTTGAATAAGTAACCTATCTTTCTGATGAAGAGAAAGCAGTGACTATCCTTCAAATTTAAGAACATTCATTCCTTCCCTTCCACTAAGTTTACGTTGGTCAGAACTCCATCATATGGCTCCACTAAACTACAAAGAAGGCTGAGAAATCGACTGTGTGTTCCCAGTGGGAAGACAGAAAGAGCTGGATGAACAGCTAACCAGTCTATACTTCTGATTACCAAATATTTATTTCATTATTTTCCACACAAATAGAACAAAGTCTTATCAAAGTTAACACCTGGATCTCAGATGTCATGCTGTTCTTTTTATCAGGTCTAGAGGGAACTTCTGATGTTTTAGTGATCCAGCAAACACATTCACCCAGTATAGATGATGGAAAAATACAGAATATCCACTAGAAATTCCTATTTGAAGAGGACAGTAATGGTAGACATATGGAATTGTCCAGGCCAATTCTGAAATCCTGTTGGGTATATATAATGTAGATCCCCATCCCGGGAGCAGGAGATTTCCTTGATTAAATCCTGTTTCTACCCTAAGATAGGAAGGCTTATGTTTGGTCTTCCTCTGAGGCTGCTGAATCTATCCTCCACTAGTTACTACTTAGTTCCTTTCCCACTTTTGTTTTTGTTCACATCATATATCATATTTGTAAAGTGTGACCGATTTCTGGTATATACAGCCTGACACCTGATTGTATGGTTTTTCGGATCTATATCAGTAAGGACCTGGCAGAAAATTCATGCACATGTGAAACATTTTTTTTTTTAATTTTAAGTCTCCGCTGCAAGAGTCAGATAATTTGAAGACAGTTTAATGAAGGGTCTATTTTTGAAGGCCTGGGCAGGATGAATGTAGGGAAATAAGAGACAGTGGAAAATTCAAGGGATACTAATAGTACGGATCTGTAACAGTCTGTCAGCCAGAAAAGGTGGGTTGAAGCACATGCTTACCAGACCAGGAGACAGACATGTGAGAAGAGGACAGTTTGACAGGGCAGACAGTCCTAACAATTCTCCACTGAAAGAACCAGTAATAAAGAGTTATTTCTCCTACTCATTTTCTTCTCTTTTCCAGTATCCTGCTAATGTTCCCTACTACTCACCCTATCCATAACCCACATCATGGTCCAGGAGCTTTCTCCCAACAGATGGTGGAATTAGGAAGTGCTTCAGCACTAGTCCCACTGCAAAAGCTCCTCTGTCCTGAGGCCAGGACTCCAGTACTTCTGAGTCCAGCAGTTAGAGGAGATGATGGGAGCTTCAGGGAACAGAGAATGAGGCCTAGTGATTATACTTCTCGTTGGGATAACACCCTATAGTTACTACTTGTTCCGGGTGGTTTGATTTTTATCAAAACTTTTTTTTAACCGTTTCTGGCCCAATGTTAAAAGAAAGAAAAAAAGGAGGAGAGGGAAGGAAGAAAGAAGGAAGGAAGGAGGGGAGGGAGGGAGGGAACAGTTATGCAAGTTTCATATACATACTTCTAGAAATTTTTATCATGTAATTTTACTGCTAAAAACTCAAAAACAATAAAACAAAAAATATTTCTATTCAACTTCTATATCCTCTTTAACTCAAGACCAATAAGAAAAGACAAAGTGATACAAAAACTGTAATGATCCCTTTCGCTAGTTCGCTAGTGAAGTAGCTAGTGTTTTGTAAAAAGATAATCAAGACTCATTTACATGTTGAAGGGAAATTTAGTCATTTGGTCCCAGACACCTATGACGGGTTAGGGGTACAAGGTTAGAACTGCCAGCATAAACTGCTTGCTCAGAAGTAATAATCAGACCTACTCCTGTCTTAATACAGTCTTCAGACATGATTGATCATGCTCACACAATGGTTTGATAGATTTCTAACTAGTTGCAAACATTTTACAAAATATTTTGGATTTCTTTTTTTCCTGAAAAACTGAAATATCTAGGAAATCTGGATTTTGTTTCCCACACTGCAATATTCCTTAGAGGTGAGTAGTAGCTGACCTCTTCAGCAGAGTTATGTGCTCTTGGATTTGTTACTTACACTTCTTTCTATCATTTCATACTTTTGGCTACTTTTCTCATTTAAGTTACCTGCCTGGTTCCTGAAGGCATTTGAGTTTGTGACCCCTAATGGGGTCTCTATATGTAAAGAATCTGGAGCCTATAAAAACATGTGTGGCAATGTGAAATTACTCCCTACTGTAGATTGTATTGAGATACGGTGCTAAATATGCCTAACTCAGAGTGTTCAATTTATGATTCTGGTACAAATGCATTTATATTTTAATAGTGTATAAATGTATGTGCATGATAATATATGGCTTTTTAGAATTTTTATATCAGTATTGGATAATAGTAAAGAGCACAAGCTCTGGTGTAAGGCAGACTGCATTTAATTAGGATTAAGTTATTAAATATATCCTCAATTTATTTTTTTTGTTTTAAAATCGAAATGATATTAATAACAACCTGATTCTGTTGATAGATTTCAATGAGTTAAACCTGTAGAATATTGAGGAAAAGATGAAATGCCATGTTGTAAGCACAGAATAAATATTTTTATTTTTCTTCTATTTTTCAAATATAAGAACATAGAAGAAATTCAGTAGATTTTAAATGAATGATACATAGTTATCAACAGCCATTAAATTAGCTCATTTAACCCATATGTAAAGTTCTAAATATATACCTCTACCTACACAAATTTAAAGTTGGTTAAATAGACAAGAAAACTATATGTGATGACCTCATAGAATGAATTATTCTAACCAGTCATATCTCAGATTCTTAGTTATAATGAATAAATGATTTCTCAAGACTTGTAAAATATAAAACGTATTTTTCATTATCTTGGGTGTTCCTTAACAATCAAATTAAAAAAAAATGCCACCCTTCATGTCTCAGTAAATAACCAATAAAACAAACACATAACCAAAAACAATTGAAATCACTCAGGATTCTTAATTTCTAGGTAAACAACAAATAGTTTCTCATGCTCAGTCTGCCCCAGTTAGTCTCCAACCCCTTGTGTAGATCATATAATTAAAAATGTATATATATTTGTTCCTGAATTTGAAAATCAGAAACCACTGTGTCTATGCATAGTAGGGAAGAGGTAATGTGGGGGTTTTCTGATTATGGAAATTTCAGTGAGTAAAAATTAAATGAATTCTGTTTTTTCTTCTTTCAGGTCTCCGTGGTCAATCAGCTGGATATGCAAGTCATTGTTTCCAATGTGCCTCCTACTCTAGTGGAAAAAAAGATAGAAGATCTTACAGAGTAATTGATTTTGTCTCCTTATATATTTATTTTTATATGACCATGATTTTTAACTGTATTTTTTAAATTTTATTTTAGATTCAGGGGATACATGTGCAGGTGTGTTACATGGATATATTGCATATTGGTGAGGTTTAGGCTTCGAGTGTGCCAACCACCCAAATAGTGAGCACTGTAGCCAATAGCTAATTTGTCAGCCCTCATGCCCCTCCCATCCTCCCTCCTTTTGGAGCCCTCAGTGTCTATTATTTTCTTTCTTTATGTCTGCATGTACCCATTGTTGACTCTCATTTATAAATAATAACATGCAGTATTTGAACAACCACAATTTTAATCTGAGTGGGTCATTTTAATCATTACAATGTTCAGATTAAACATATAGTTTAAGAGTGTTTTAATAATAATTTAGCTTACTGTTTTCTCAAAGTCTAATTGGAAATATGTGAAGATTTTGAGAGTGTCTTCAAATAAGGATAAAAATTAGATGTGAGATTTTATTATTCAGAATGCTTTGATGTATCAGAACCTCAAAATGCTGCATATGAGAAATCATAACATTCATGGATTGAATATATACCTTGATTTTGTGGCTCCAATTTACTCAAAAAGCAGTCTGGCCAGTCCAGGAAATATGTCATTTCTCAAAGCAATGTGTCTAAATGCCTAGAGCTTAGTCTTTTAAAACCAAGTTGACTAATATTAAGCAATATATATGTTTTAAATTATTGTAAAATATGTGGCATGTCCCTCTGCCTCCTTAACAGTGTAGACTCACCATGGCTGAGTATGTTATAGTTAACTCCAATCTAGTTGTGATTATTTATTAAACTGCAGTTCTTATATTTTGATACTGTAAAAGATGTTTAAAATATCTTTACTATTTTACCCTTAATTACCCTAATTTAGCTGCCATTATTTTAAATTTTTTTTTCTTTTTTTGGTTACATGAATAATTCTTTAATGGTGAATTCTGAGATTTTGGTGCACACAAGCAGTGTACACTGTACCCAACGTACAGTCTTTATCCCTCACCTCCATCCCACCCTTTCCCCTGAGTCCCCAAACTCCATTGTATCATCTTTATGCATTTGAGTCCTCATAGCTTAGTTTCCACTTATGAGTGAAAACATATGATGTTTGTTTTTTCATTCCTGAGTTACTTCACTTAGAGTAATGGTCTCCAATAATGGCAAATGCCATTATTTTGTTCCTTTTTATGGCTGAATACTATTTCATTACACACACACACATACATATATATATATATATACATATCACCTTTTTTTTTAACTTTTAAGTTCCGGGATACATGTGCAGAACATGCATGCTTGTTACATAGGTATACATGTGCCATGGTGGTTTGCTGCACCTATCAACCCGTTGTCTAGGTTTTAAGCTCTGCCTGCATTAGGTTGTTCTTCTGTGTCTTCTGTTGATTTCAGTTTGACAGAGGTCAATTATCGTCACTGTCAATTTGCCTCTTTAGCAAAATATCATCACTTCAGCTTGCCAGAAGAAGCTTTAAAGAGTCAGATAACTAAACTTTTAGTAATTATATGCCAAATAAAATACAGTAGGCACGGATTAAAGCATATGTGATTTTCCCATAAGAAAAGCATATATGATTCATAACAATTATTTCAGGATAGTTCACAAATTTAACCTTTTGGTGTCATGTAAATTGTTTTATGAGGGTGATGGTTATCAACATTTATGCATGGAATATCAATTGTACAGTGTCTTGTTTATTTCTGCAGAAGTAGTTTATATACACTGAGCCTTTTCAAAATAATAGCTGATTATACTTTAAAAATAATTAGAATTGTGCCTAACTTTTAGCTGCTTTAATAAAAGCCTATTGAGACAGGCTTTCTCTGATTCCGTTGTCTATTATGTAAGAAATGATACCCAGCTTCAAATTTTAACCCTTTATTCTAGTTTATTTTTCTACAAAGCATTATCTAATGTTATTATTATAGTCAATTTCCACTAGAATATTATCTCTACGAATGTATGAGACTTGTGTTTTATTTCTATAACTCCAGTTATATAGTAGACACTTGATACATTTTATTGAAAGGATGTTTTACAAGCAAATCATGATGCCATTTTCTTTATTTTGAGACAAAATTTATCAAACTGAAAAAGAAAATAGCAAAAGTATAGTTTTGCAGGAATTTATAAGATTTTAATGCTTCTTAAGTAGATAGGATGATATAAATAGGAAAAATCAGGTAACTTTCAGGTCTTGAGAGAATCGTATCATTGTGAAGGAAGCTCTGACTTCATAAAACTTTGGATTTAAAACATGAAATTGGGCAAATAATTTAATCTTTTCAACCTCAGTTTCACTGTTAAGAGCTAATAAAACATATAGAATTATTTTGAAAACTGAATTATATAATGTATCTAGGACAATAGAAAGTATGACTATTCGGTGAATGGTAAATATTCCATATAAATGGAGCTAGCAGCTCAAAGTCAGTAGACTTAGGTGGAGAGTGGCTAGGAGTTTTGTACATTTTATTTATTAAGCATTTGGTAATGGAATGCAGATTATGGTTTCAGACACAGAGATTTAGATCCTATTACAGCTCTGTAACCTCTGGACAAGCTACTTAGCACCTAGAGCCACTTTTATTCTTCATGAAAATTGGAATAAAGACCTCTATCTCATGTTGATTTTAAAAGAATTAAATATAAATCTGCGAGTTTATTAAGCAGCACATACATGCCCCATTCCTTTTGTTGTGATTAAAAAACATAGTATAAACATTACCATCTTAAACATTTTTAAGTGTACAGTTTGGTAGTTTTAAGTATATTGACATTGTTTCAAAATAGATTTTCAGAACTTCTTCATTTTGCACAACTGAAATTTGGTACCCATTAAACAAGTTTCCATTCCAGCCTTACCCCTAGACTCTGGGTAACAACCTTTTGTCTTCCTACATGTATAAATTTTACTACTTTAAATACATCATAAAAGTGGAAATTTGCAGTATTTCTCATTTTGTGATTGGATTATTTCACTTAGCATGATATTCCCATGATTCATCCATGTTACAGCTTAGCATGTGATAGAATTTCATTCCTTTATAGAGCTGAATAGTTCTCAATACATACCACATTCTGTTCATCTGTTCACCTCTCAATAGACATTTGGGTTGTTTCCCCCTCTTGGATATTGTGAATAATACTGCTATGAACATAAATATTAAAATATATCTTTTATATCCTGCTTTCATTCTTTTGAGTGCATTCTCAGAAGTGGGATTGCTAAATCATATGGTAGTTCTAATTTAAAGAAAATTGTTTTCTATAGCAGTTGCACCATTTTACAATTTCACCACCAGTGCATAAGCTTTCCAACTTCTCAACCTCCTATCAACACTTTTTATTTTCTGGTTCTTTTTCCTTTTTTATACGTAGTAGCCATACTAATGTGTGAGATGATATATCATTGTCATTTGATTTGATTTCTCTGATGGTTATTGATGATGAGCATCTTTTCAGGTGCTATTGGCCATTGTATATCATCTTTTAAAACATGTCTATTCAAGTCCTTTGCACATTTTTAATTGGGTTACTTGATTTATTTTAGTTGTTTAGTTGTAGGAGTTGTTTAGATATTAGATACTAATCCCTTATCAGATGTAAGATTTGCAAATATTTTCTCCTATTCCATAGGTTGCCTTTTCACCCTGATGATTGTGTCACTAATTGGGCAAAAAGTTTTAAAGTCAGAGGTAGTCCATCTGTCTATTTTTGCTTTTGTTTCCTGTGCTATTGGTGTCATATTCAATAAATCGTTGTCAAATCCAGTGTTACAAAACACCTCTCATACGTTTTATTCTAGGCATTTTATGGTTTGGAGGTCTTATATTTAGATCTTTAATCCATTTTGAGTTAATTTTTGTATATGGTGTAAGATAAGGGTCCAGCCTTTTTTTTTTTACATATGGATATTCCATTTTTTCAATACTAGTTGTTTAAGAAATTGTCCCTTCCATGTCTGATTTCATTTTGTAGATTTTTTTTAAAACCTATGTAAATTTAGAGTTTTCTTAAGCAGAAATATTTCTGATCTCTTTTTGAAACCTACATTAGTAGATGGAAGTGGTAGTGATAAGAACTGTAAGACCTGAGTCAGCACTGTGAAGCCCCAGTGCTCCCCCTATCCATGTCTGGGATGAGTGATGAAAATACACACATAACTCAGGTAGCCATCGGGGTGCCAAATAGTTAATTAAATAGAAGAATTTATTGTTCTAGTGACGAGACCAGTAAACACATTAATTCCCTGTGACATTCTTAGGTGACAAGTTAGTTATCATCAAAGCCATTTCTATATTTCCCTTGAGACATCCCTATCCGATGAAGTGGAAAACTGGAATGTCATGTGATCATTTTTTTTTTTGGTAGACCAATATTTTAGGCAAAAATATAAAGTTTCCTTGGTAAGTATGTAATCAGTACAAATGAGGACACTTGATGAAAGGAAAAATAATGACCTGACATATCCATTTTACAATGGAGCAGATTTTACAAAGATCAGTACACTTTGATAGCTAAGACCGCAGTACCTGGAAAATGGAATGCTTGTAATAAATCTTAGCTGCTGTAATGATTACTCCTCACCTCACTGAATCAGCTGAAATGACTATACTGAAAATTTTTTACTACTTTTTAGATTTTAAGCTTATAAAATTGACCAATTCCCCTAAGTAAGGAAACATATACCTTTTTAATTAGATTAATATATTCAACAAATTCCAGTGAGGATCTGCATCCACTACAGATACCCTTGAATATCTGTGCTCTGACGTATTTTAAGTTGATCTTAGAATTCACCTCTTTGTAAGGCTTGTGGTTTTTTAAATTACTTTTTTTTAAATTAAGGTATAGGAGAAACAGCTGTGAGAATAACAGTAGGGACACGTAACTACAATGGACAAATAATTGGCAAATAATTGTCTAAAGAAGAAACTATGAAATGTTTGCATTTTATAACTTCTTTCTACTCCCAGTTCACCATGAAACTCAAATAAGAGGAATCTGTGGTTCTAAAATTTAAATCCTTAAGCATCTATAAAAGAGATATTTTGAAAATTATAAACTCGAGTTTAGAAACACTGAGTTAGAGTATTTTTGTATGAATCGGAACTGACAACTTATTTCTCAGAGTTGCTCAAACCCATCTCTTACCTTCTGAATAAAATATGAAAATTCAATTATAGTAGAGCTTTACTGAAGTAGTTACTGACTTGATGAGGAAGAGCCTCAACTTTATGAAATATTTATGTAGCACCTGAAATGTGCTGTGTAATCAATCTATAGTTCCTAGAATTAAGGTTACAAAACCTACATTAGAAATGTAGCCAGGATATATATTACGTATATAGAATTTATTTATTTGTATAGTATATATGTATATATGTGTGTGTGTAAATATATATATATATATATATATATATATATATATATATATATATATATATATTTCTAGGAGGATAATTAGAAGGTCTCTCGGGAAGCATACCTATGAAACGCTAACTGCTAGCACATTTTCTTAAATCAATGTAATAAAAACTTGGTTTTAAGGGGAAAGTTTGAGCTCCTTTTTGTTTCAGAGAACCTAGGCTCATTTCCCAGACCACCAAAGACTAGCTAGGAAGTCTTGGGCCAGTCTATCAAACTCTTTGAGTTTTTGCATTTGTATCTTAGAGCTGGGGATTTATTAGTTAAAAAATAAATAGTTACAGATTGTAAGCACTGGAGATTATCAGTGAACAGTGTGAAGTCCCTGCTGCCATGGAGCTTCTATTCGATTGCATAAAAATGGCATATAAAATAACAATATTAATAAATATGTAATATTAAGTTATGTAGTGATAACTGTAATAAAGACAGATAAATACAAGTATCAAGTAGAAAATTTTGGAAGAGAGGTGCTGTTTTAAATAGGATGGTTAAAGAAAGCCTTTCTGATAAGTTGAAATCTGAGAAGACATCTATATTAAGTGATGGAAAAAGTCGTTTGACTATGAGAGAGGAAGAGGCACAATTCCTGATAGAGAACTGCAGTTATGAAAACCCAGAGAAAGAGCCATGCTTGGCTTATTAAAATATAGATATCATGGTAGAAAATCAGTTCTAGGACCTGATAGATCACTTGGACGATTTCAAGTTTTATTCTGTGTGAGATGGAAAGTCCTTAGTTAGACCCATCTGTTCAATATGGTAGCCACTAGATACCTTAAGAGTTTCTTTTGTTATGTAGTCTTCTCCCTAGCTGCCATATTCTACAATTAAATTGCTGTATTGTCTATTACATGCCAATTTTCTCTCAGCATACTTAGCATAAAGATATAGTTGGAGTTGAAGATATTATCAACAGAGAATTGCCATGAATGATTTAATTTTTATCAGATAATGCAGCACACCCATTTTAATAGTACAATTTTTGAAAATAATGTTTCTGTAATAGGAATGTAATAGCTATAAAATAAACTAAAAGCAATCATAAAAATAAAATACAAACCAGAAATATAATAATAAATCCTACCATTTATTATTCAAGGTATAATTTACTATTCTTTAAAAAAAGGTTAAGTGTGACTAAGCTTTATTCAAAGCCTTGGAAATTCATTGTTTTGACAGAAAGAAAATTTATTTGCTACTTTTTGAAATATTCATTTGGAGCATTATTTAGTAGAGAAGTAACCTCTGTTTACAAGAAGAATGACTTGTCTTTAACTCATTAGGTTAATTATGATTAAAGAAATCATAGTTCTTTACAGAACTGAAGATACCCCAATATGCAATTATACAATTAAAAGCTACTATTTTATAATAATCCTTGTGCACATTGCAGTAGCATCTTTAATGCTTAACTCTTTGAAATGTAGAAAAAGCACAGATTTAAAATTCTGTTTTTAGTTAAATATGGCAGGATTTTTAATTGTTTCCAAAACTTTAGTATTGAAATAATCACATGGAACAAAGATGATTATAAACTAAGGTGCTCCATGATTTTCAGTTCTGTTCTATTTTTGAGAGTTAAAAGGTTTTATTTTACGTGGATTCTTAGTTATTATTTGGAGGAATGTTATCTTAGCCCAATATGAGTAAATTGTTTACTTTAAGGATTAATCATCTGTCACATGGCTCAAAGTCACAATAATTAGTGTTTTGTCTCTGATAATATATTTCACGTATATTAAGGTAAGCTTTTTTTTATTTTGTATGACTTGGATTTTCCAAATTTGTACAAATTTTTCTTTCTTTCTTTTTTTTTTTTTTTTTTTTTTTGAGACGGAGCCTTCCTCTGTCGCACAGGCTGGAGTGCAGTGGCGCGATCTCGGCTCACTGCAAGCTCCGTCTCCCGGGTTCATGTCATTCTGCCTCAGCCTCCTGAATTGCTGGGACTACAGGTGCCCGCCACCATGCCCGGCTAATTTTTTATATTTTTAGTAGAGACGAGGTTTCACCGTGTTAGCCACAATGGTCTAGATCTCCTGACCTTGTGATCCGCCTGCCTCAGCCTCCCAAAGTGCTGGGATTACAGGCATGAGCCACCGCGTCCGGCCAATTTGTACATATTTTTCTATAAGCAAAGTTAACCAAAAGCAAATCACTTATCAAGTAGGTTTTACTTTTTTTCTTAAGATTCCATTGCATATTGATTCCGTAAAGGGTCCTGTATGCTGACATGTTTGCTTCAGATAGATATGTTTCTTATTTTAATGGTCGTCATTCATTCATTCATTAACACATTTCTGAATGCTTATAGTCTATTATAACAGCTTCTGTTTGGAAAAAATATATATACATATACAAAATAAATCAACTTTCTTAGTTAACACTTGCCATCTGAGAGATGTAATATAAAAAAAAGAAATCATATTTGCACACTTTCTCCATGCCTTCTCAGCAACATAGAAAAAAAAAGATTAAAAACTAAAGAATGAGGCAGGGCTGCTACATTTAGGTGGTGTATTTTGTCAGAATCAATATTCTTTCTACTTTTTATCTTTTTTACTTTTTTAGTATTCAAACTTTTGGAGACAATGGAAAGCCAAAACAAACAAACAAATAAATGAACATTGAGGACATTTTCATTTTGCTTTTAGGTGAAAAAAGTTTAAAATCTTTGAGCTATTGTTGTTTTCAAAAAGAGATAAATGAGATCTTCCCAGATTAAAAATATATTTTATTGGAAGATCAATTAAAAACACTATGTGTTTAGTTTTAAATCAAAGATAAATATGTTTATGTTGCCTTTATTTGCACTATGAAAATAATACAAACAAAATTTTGGGGAAACTATTTTGTTTAAGAAAATAGCATGATCGAAAGATACATTAAAGAAATAAAATTAATTAATGCACAATGAATCATCGTAATGAAGGTACCCGTATATTAACTGAATCTTTGAATTGTGCTTCAAAATTTTAAAGTGTTTAAAATGTTCTTATCAACTTATGATGGAGAAAAAATAATTGATACAGGTATATTTTTTCCTGAGATTTGAAGGTAAGGGGTTATTCATGTTCAAAAGTGAAATTCACTTATAAAACACTAAGGAAAAAAACATTTCCAGACAACTTTATTTATGTTTTTATTTTAAGATCTAGAAATTAGGAAGAAAAGCAAAGAAAGATTGAGCGGTTAATCTTAACTTGTATTATAATCTGTTTTTCTCCCCTCAAATATCATTCAGTTCAGTTTATTTTTAAGATCTTTTGCTTGTACCAAGTAGAAAATAACTAGAAAATAGTTGTAGTGTAAAAATAAGGACATCATTATATATTATTTTATCAAAACATTTGAATCACAGTTGCTTTATGGAGATCTCTAAAATACATAGTGGACATTTATTTCTTTTAAAATTATTTCCTCTCTTCCTCCTCTTTTTTTTTTTATAACCTAGAAGTTTTGTCAAATTGAACAGCTTGTTATTTTTGTAATTCACCCCAACTCATGGTACAAGGTAGATATATCACTTCCTTTAGAGGCCACTTTAATCATCAAGAGTCAATTCCTCTGTTCTCTTAATCCTATTTATTATTCTTTTCTATACTTTCTTCAATTTATTCACAATTTACCGCAGTCTGTACTGCTGTTTTTTAATGTGAGACATAAACTCCACAAAATGTTTATGCAAGAGAATTCCGTTTGTATCAGAAAGTCATAAATTATATTTTAGATGCTTCCATATATGTCTAATAAATATTAAAGGCTAAATTTAATTTTGTTTTAATTTTCTACCTTATTCCAAAGAAAAACAGAAGTAGTTTACAATGATTCACACAGAAAAAAAGGTAAAATACATTAAAAATGAGTGTAGAAAAATAAAGCAAACAGATGAGAAAGAAGTTAAAGAAAGGATCAGAGTAAGAGTAAGTAATTACAGAGATGCTGCAAAGGCCTGTATAGTCCATATAGAGTAGTCACAAACTTGACTGTCACCTTGTTAGGGCCAAAGTGAAAGAAGCAAACAAGCTAAACAAAAAGAACAGACTCAGTTACAAAATTAACAAAACCATATCTCTTCTGGGACAAAAGAACTCTTTCAAAGTCTAATTCCAGATTAGAGGAAAATATTTTTATCTTGTGGGATACCACAGAGAGGTTACCATGTAATGTAATGAACAAAATGCTCCATGGCATCTAGAGCACTACTTAGGATATGGTCTGGGTAGAGTCCCTGTGGGTCTGTATTAATGGAGGAAAGAAGTTCAGAACAGTAGGAACTGTATGCCTGTATTTTTATCCCTCCAGCCAGCTGCAATGCCTATTGATTAATTTAGCTAAGCTTGTGTAAAAATATTGATAAGCACTTGGGGTGGAACTCTCTATGATGCTAGATAAATATAAGCCATTTACCTCAACAAAAGCCTAAGTAGGGTTTATAATCATGAAATCTGAAGAGTTCTTGTAACCATCACAACAGGTAGCCAACATTTATGACACGCTTCATATTGGTTAGATTTTTGTGCATTTAATGGGTGTAGTCTCCTTAACCTATCACAGAGGACCTTTGAGGTAGGTTTGACTACTTTTCCCACTGTACAGATAAATTCCCTGAAACTTTGAAAAGTTAAGTAATTTCCACAAAGACACAATAATGGAGGTTTAATTTTAATCTACGTCTACCAGCCACCAGCAGATGGAGTTTCCTCTGTTACACTGCCTCTTAGGAGGCAAACCTAATTAAAAACCCAACCCATCTTTTCTTGGGAGTAAACTGAGCATGCAAAACCAGAAATTCTCATCACATGGTAATTTTAACTCAACTCATTCACACAGACAAATGGGTAATTGAGATTATGGCTGCTGTAATAATTTTAGTGTAAAAAAATAAATAAAAAGCTAAATCAACCATGAGTAAATACCTGTCCCAGCTATAAAACTATCAGTAAACACCTTACACTACAGTTTTTCATAATGCAATTTCTAGTTGAAACTAATTGAAGATGTATATACAGGTAACTGGATAAGGTAATGCTGTAAATTGAAATTTAGAGCATCTACCAAAAATAACTTGGTTCAAGAATAAGTAAGTTAAGCGAACCAATTGTTTATTGACACCCTTAGTTTGTGATTTTAAAATAATGCTATCTGCATAGGAAAAAAAATCAGTTAAATAAACCTTTCAGCATTTATTCTAAGAAGGTTATTTAGATAAACTGTTTTGTATTGGACATTAATTAGTATGTGGTACTATACTAACATATGTTACATAAAATGTTTGTATTAGCTATATTAACGTATTTCTTTAGAAGTTTTCTGTTTTTAAAACTTTTCCTAAAGGTGACATAATTAAATAGACATTAACAGGAGTATGTTAGAGAGCATTCAAAGTAAAGTGGAACAATATAGCCTTAAAATGTAATTTTTATTCAATAAT
Organism: Homo sapiens; assembly: GCF_000001405.40. Classification (NCBI taxonomy): domain Eukaryota; kingdom Metazoa; phylum Chordata; class Mammalia; order Primates; family Hominidae; genus Homo; species Homo sapiens. The sequence continues at coordinate 53,846,259 of NC_000010.11, read as the reverse complement.
TGTAATTATCATCCAAATTTATTAACATATTTTTCACTTTTTAGAAGACCAATCACAGCCAGTTCTCTGTTTTGAGAATGCTCGACATAATCAGATACTGTTTTGCTTCATACTTGATTGTACTATTTGCATTTTAAATACGTATATTGCTACCAAGAAGTCAGATTCAGGGAAATTTTTGGCATTCATTTTTTAATTCTTTTTTTGTTTGTGTGTGTGTGTGTGTGTGTGTGTGTATACACATACACTATTGATATAACCTAGTTGTACATATTTTTGGGATATATGTGATATTTGGATTCATATATATATAATGTGTACTGATAAATCAGCATAATTGGAATATCCATCAACTCCAATATTTTTCTTTGTATTGGGACCATTACAATTCTTCTTATCTAGCTGTTTTGAAATATACAACACATTATTTTTAACTATAAATTCCCTACCGTACTGTTGAATACTATAACTTATTTATTTTCTCTATCTGTATTTTTGTATCCATTAACCATTTTATCATTATCCCCATCTTTCTTCCCCTCTCAGCCTCTGGTAAGCACCATTCTACTCTCTACCTCCATGAGATCCATTTTTTAGCTCCCACATATGAATGAGAATATGTGATATTTCTTCTTTGCCTGGCTTATTCCACTTTACATAATAACCTTCAGTTTCTTCCATGTTTCTGCAAATGACAGGATTTTGTTCTTTTTATGGCTAAATAATATTTGATTGTATATATATACTGTATTTGCTTTATCCACTCATCTGTTGATAAACATTTTGGTTGATTCCATATCTTGACTACTGTGAATAGTGCTGTGATAAACATAGGCATGCAGATAACTCTTCAATATATTGATTTTCTTTCTTTTGGATGTATACCTAGCAGTGGGATTACTGAATCATGTTATAGTTCTATTTTTAGTTTTTTGAGGAACCTCCATACTGTTTTCCATAATGGCTGTACTATTTTACATTCCCCCCAAGAATGTATAAATGTTCCTCCTTCTCCATATCCTTACAGCATTTGTTATTTTTTGTTTGTTTGTTTTTTGACAATAGCAATTACAGTTGGGATGAGATAATATTTCATTGTGATTTTGATTTTCATTGCCTTGATGATTAGTGATGTCGAGCATTTTTTCATATGCCTATTGACTCTTTGTATATCTTCTTTTGAGAATTGTCTATTCAGATCCTTGGCCCATTTTTAAATTGGATTATTTGGTTTTTATCTGTTGAGTTCCTTATATATTCTGGTTATTAATCTCTTGTTGATTGGATAGTTTGCAAATATTTTCTCTTATTCTATAGGTTGTCTCTTTGACAATTGTTTCATTTGCTGTGTAAAAGCTTTTCTGCCTAATGTAATCCCATTTGCCTATTTTTGCTTTCATTGGAAAATTTATATTTCTTTGGAGTCTTACAAAATCTTTGCTCACACCAATGTCCTGAAGTCTCTTCCCAATATTTTCTACTAGTAGTTTTACAGTTTTATGTCTTATGTTTAAGCTTTTAATCCATTTTGAGTGGATTTTTGTACATAGAAAAAGATGGGAATCTATTTTTATTTTTCTGAATATGGATATCCAGTTTCTTATCATCATACATTAAAAATTGTCCTTTCCCCAGTGTATGTTCTTCACATCTTGGTCAAAAATGATTGGCTGTAAGAGTGTGGATTTATTTTGGAGTTTTCTCTTCTGTTTCATTGGTGTACGTGTCTGTTTTTATGGTCATATCATGTTTTTTCCAAAAAAGCAAATTTTCTGTTTCTTGATTTTTTGTGTTTTCTTTTTGGTCAAAGTTTTGCTTATATCTGCTCTGATATTTATATTTTATTTCATATGGCTAATAGTCATGGATTGGGTTGTGTCTTTTCTTCTAAATTATTGAGTAGGCTGAGCATTTAATGAACCTTCATGTACTTAAGTTCTTTACTAACTAGTTTTCCTGATTCTACTCAGCCTAGTCTCAACACAGCAACCAGTGTGCCTCCTTTAAATGTAAGGTAGATCATATTACTTTAGTATTCAAAACCAGCAACAGATTCTTATCTCACTCAGAACAAAAAACAATGCTCTTACAATCCTCAAAGTCCCCACGTGATCTGCTCTGGCCACACACTACTACATCAGCACATTTATACAAGCAGTTAGCAATTCTCTTTTCTTAGAACACTCATTCCTAGAATAGCCACAGCACACATTGTTCCCTAAAGTTTTTGCTCAAATATCAAAGTCTCAATGATATTTATTCTGAACACTTTTACCAATTTTATCAATCCATGATCTGTTACTTGTCTTGTTCAATTTGAATGTAAATTCTTCTTTGACATCAAAGATTGTATTTTGTTCACTGATGTATTCCATGTGTCTGGAATGGCTTCTGGCCCAGGATAGGCATTGAATAAACATCTGTTGAAGGAATGAATAAATGAAAATTTTCCTACTTAACACTTCCCTGAGTGAGTTTTGCTATAATTTTATGAAAAGCCCTGAATCCAATTTAATTTTTTTCATTTTTAAACTAGAAAATATAGATTTATATGAAGACTTTTTTTATCACGAAGTTGGGGAGAGGAAATAGGGAGTTAAGGAGATTTTTTAAAAATATAACTATATTGTTCTTTTATTCCCATTATAAAGAAATATAAGCAATATAATATATGAAGAAGAAAGTTATAAAAGGTAAACTCAAAATCATACCATCCAGCTCTAAGCATTATTAACATTACATAAACATCATTATGGACATCTTTCTTGATATGTGTGTGTATGATACAAATATTATGGGTTAGATAAACATCATTGCAAATCTCTTTTTCTTTGTGTGTGTGGGGGTATATGTATATATGTGAGGAAATTTATATACATATAGGTAATGAATATAGATGTAGAAAATACTTAGTATATAGATATAGATGATAAATGAAAAGATAGATTTTTATGAAATGTGTTCTCAATTAAAAGGTATTTAGTTTTACTTACATTTATAAGAAAAAGATACAGAAGCAGTTAAGATTAGGCTATATCTCTTTTTATCATAAGATATACTTTGTCCCAAAAGATCTTTAAAAGTTTAACAAAAAAATGCTCAAAGTGAAGACATTATTGCATGTTTTAAATGACATAATTTGTTTTTAGACTTCTTTTATTCATGATTCCCTGCTACCATGAAGGAATTGGTACAGTTATATTTTATTCCACATCTATTTTTTTTAGTGAAATGATTCTGCAGTATTGCACTGAAAATAGAAAAGAACCCAAGCACAATAGATATGTTTCTTCACTGTAGGATCACACACAATTAATCTATGCTTATATGAAGGATTTCCTTGGAACATGTCAAATCAATGCCAAAATGCACTGGAGAAGGCATAAATTGTTAGACCAAAGTATTGGGACAGAGAGCCATCTATTGCATTGTATTTAACTAGGTACTCCTGTTTGCGTTTTGATTTGTGAACTGATTGATTATACTAGTGAGAAGTATACTTTCCTATTCCACAAATTAATTAAAGGCCTTGAATGAATTTGAGACAAGGAAGAAGCTTATTAATGGAAATATTTCAGTCAAATTAATAAAAATAAGATTCATTTTGTTGAATAGTTACTATGTGCTAGGAACTGTGTAAAAGCTTTATTTCACCGAATGCACATTCAGCCCCATGTGGTACATTATTTCCTTGTTTTCTATTTAAGGAAACATGGCCAGATGTGATGCTCATGCCTGTAATCCCAGCACTTTGAAAGGCCGAGGCGGGCGGATCACTTGAGGTCAGGAATTTGAGACCAGCCTGACCAACATGGTGAAACACTGTCTCTACTAAAAAATACAAAAATTAGCCAGGTGTGGTGGTGCATGCCTGTAATCCAGGCGTGAGACAGGAGAATCCCTTGAACCCGGGAGGTGGAGGTTGCAGTGAGCCGAGATTGCCCCATTGCACTCCAGCCTGGGCGACAGAATGAGACTCCATCTCAAAAAGCAAACAAACAAACCTGAGACTTTGAGAGCTTAAGATTACTTGTCTAAGGTTATGCAATTGAAAGGCAAAGGAAATTAAAATTGAAGCCAGCCAGACATCTGTACTCCTCAACATTATATCATTATTGTTTGTGCCTCCTACAAAATGTCAAGAGTATAATATGGTTTGACTCCGAGGCCTCTCTTATTTTTGTTAAATGAGCATAAATCTCTCAGGAAAAAAAATCTGAAAAACACAGTCCAAATGATGTTAGACTAGTCTGTGTCTCTCAGTACATCCATTATCTTCAGGTTCCCGGGGTTGTTTTTTTTTTTTTTTTTTCCCTTTGGAGATAAAATCTTGCTCTGTCGCCCAGGCTGGAGTCACTGCAACCTCCACCTCCCGGGTTCAAGCGATTCTTCTGTTTCATCTCCCGACTAGCTGGAATTGCAGGCATTCAACTATTAACTGATATTTTCCAAGTGAATTTGCTCCTCCTCCTTTTTTACACATCATCTTTTCTTAGTCTACTTCAAGGATGTCATCAGAAAAGAAATTGCGAAGCCGAGAGACCAGTGGGCGTGGAGTGGTGACAGAAAAGGAAAATAATGAATAGTACTTCAATAAGACAGACTTCAACAGTACTGGGTTACAAACATTTAAAAACAAGCAAGCAAACATTTCACTATGATTGGTAGTGTCTCCTGGCATGCACTGGTAGAGCCATTTCCTCCAAAGTTTAGTAACCTCATTGTTCTAATAACAAGGCAAACCAAGCACATACAAGACTCTTAAGGGAATATACTTTCAGTCGAGCAAGAAATATGTCAATTGTGGCATTAGAAGCAAAAGTTATTTTCTGATGTATCAAAGGACTTTAGAATATATTGCCCTTCTCCCCCTAAAAAAACCTCAAAATATAGACTCAGAAAAGAGCATTGAGTCTACGAATTTTAGAATATTTATCATATATAGTAATTAAAATTATTTAAATTTAAACATCTGTAAATACTGAATTATATGCTCTTAATATTTATATACTTGGGTTAATAATATAAAGTTTTTAATAAGGAATGAGACATTTGGGAAATGGTAATAATTCATACTTTCAATTAAAATCCAGTCATGAGATGGGAAAATTACTTATTGATTAATATTGTCTCTGCTTTTTAAATTAAATATCACTAATTTATACCAGATGGTATATGTTGTTTTTATTCACCTAAATAGTGTCTGAGATTTGCATGCCATATTTTTATCTTAACGTGGTAATCCTGCCATTGCAAAATATCTCCACATTCTCCCGTTGCTGTGATTCTGCAAGGATTTTTATACCTTTGGGAAAACAGGCATCCTAGTCCTGCTTCTTAGCATATAGCTACGTGTCATGTGTCACAGACTTTAGTGGGAGATGTAATTTATGACACCAACCATGTGAAGTCAAGGGTTCTAAGACCCCATGCCTCCTATAAAGCATAGACAGCTTTATTTGTACAGCATATTTGGCATTTCTCATGTAAAAGCTCAAATAGTATCATAAATTCAAAAAGCCTAAAGTTAAATAGGACATGGTTGGTGACCTTTTCTACCGTATTCAGCTTCTAGCATCATTGGGAGCTAAATGCTGAAAAAATATAGAGAATGTTTTTCAAGGGTTTATATTCAGTAAACATTAACAAAAAACTAGGCTGTCATCATTTTTCATTTACTAAATGTCTTTTCAAGTTAAGAGTAATTTTTTACTCCCAGAAAGCCCATTGGACTGTCATGTTTGTACTTTGTTTGATTTATAGGATCTTGGATCGCTATGTTCAGGAACAAATTCCTGGTGCCAAGGTCGTAGTGGAGTCCATTGGAGCTCGCCGGCATGGAGATGCCTTTTCCCTAGAAGATTACACCAAATGTGACTTGACTGTCTATGCAATTGACCCCCAAACCAACAGAGCCATCGATAGAAATGAGCTTTTTAAGTAAGTGCTTTTTGTTATCTGTAACAGCTCTTTGGTTACAATAGCAACCATAGATGATTCTGACTTGAGGCTATAAGTACTTAAAGTTTAAAACCCACCAAATAGTTACTGAAAGTGAAGTGTAAGCAAAGAACCTGAAATACCTAGGATTCTCATGCCTTAAAGTTTTCAGGTCTAAGTGTGGGCTACAGTGACTTCAGAGGGCCCATTTTCTTTATGGGCATCAGATGACCTTTTGTACTTAAGAACAAGGAACAGCTCCTTGAAATCACCTGCTGCCAGCTCCTCACTCTTGCTCAAGGGCACTGGCTATTAATGAGGAAAGCACAGATTCTTAAAGAGGCAGTTTTTCTGCAATGATTTTCATATGCTTGCATTTTAAGAAGAAATCCACCTTTCTTACAGGTCTACTAAATCAGCAAAAATCAATATCTGCTTTTTTCTTTAACTTACAGGTGGAGAGCAGGTGGGATAATCATTCCCATTTAAGTTCATGCTCTATGTGAAATTTCATCCTAGCAGGAACTTAAAAATTTGAGTTATAAATCCTAAAAATAAATAAAGTGCAGAATCTTAAAGAAAATCCTGCTACTTACTTTCTTTGGATGTTATTCGAGCACACTTAAATACTTAAAAAAAAAAAAATTGTTAACAGAATTTTCTTTACTCTGGTGACACCTAGTGTCCAACTGGGTCTTGTAATGAAATTCTATCTCAATGAAACATTTTTAGTTAAAAATATATATTGATATACAATCATAATAGTTTATATGTGCCTGTATATATAGTCATGCCGAACTCTATATGTGAAACATCATAATTTAGTTTTTCTTTGTCTATACTTTTTAAACAGCATATAAACATATCCATATACACATTTACAAATATATCTATATTATGTGTATGTAAATTTATTTATTTTGTAAATATCTATTCAATTTTTATTCAAATTAATAAATTCTGAATTTAGTTTTATTTTAAATGTGTTCATCGACAAAATTTCATCACTTCTATTTTGGCAATAATAAAATAATGATTTAATATCAGCTAAAATTTTTTAAAAGCCATAATTATTTAACATGTTACTCATCAATTCTTTTTTTTTTTTTTTTTTTTTGAGACGGAGACTCACTCTGTGCCCCAGGCTGGAGTGCAGTGGCGCAATCTCGCTCACTGCAAGCTCCACCTCCCGGGTTCACGCCATTCTCCTGCCTCAGCCTCCTGAGAAGCTAGGACTACAGGCGCCCGCCACCACGCCCAGCTAATTTTTTGTATTTTTAGTAGAGACGGGGTTTTACCATGTTAGCCAGGATGGTCTCGATCTCCTTACCTGGTGATCCGCCCGCCTTGGCATCCCAAAGTGCTGGGATTACAGGTGTGAGCCACCGTGCCTGGCTCATCAATTCATTTTTAATAGATATTTGGGCCATGTGCAAAACAGGATACTAACCGTGGAGGAAATATAGATGAATGAAGTAATAGCTCGCACTCTGATTTTATAGTCACCACCAAAATGAAGCAACATTTAGATCTACCAAGCCAATTTTTTGTAAGTTTTATTAATTTAAAAAGTTTATTAATTTAAAAAGTTTAGGAATAAACTTCCAAAGTAATTCATATATATTCTTTCGATTGTCAGAAAATCAACACATTTCTTTTTTATGTGAATCTACCTGCATTCTGTGTTTTTTGCATACATTAGTTTTGTTTTTAAATTTCACGATTGATTGAGTTTAGGGTGTTTTTACCTGAATATAAAAATATGTATTATATTTGGGCTAACTTTAAAGAGTAAAATAATGGTGATTAGAATTTGAATTTAACTAGCAAACCTTCTAGAGATTAAATATTTGGGGAAAAAAAAGCCACTTGGGTTTTAAGTGACACCATGAAATACAAGATGAACATCTTTAATTAATTCTAAATAAGTTTTTCCAAACCTAAATTATATTATGGACAGTAAACATCTAAATTCAATAAAATAACTATCATAGCCAGCAGGCAAGGAAAAAACAGAATATATATAAATCATAAAATAAATTTTTGGCCGGGCGCGGTAGCTCACGCCTGTAATCCCAGCACTTTGGGAGGCCGAGGTGGGTGGATCACGAGGTCAGGAGATCGAGACCATCCTGGCTAACACGGTGAAACCCCGTCTCTACTAAAAATACAAAAAATTAGCCGGGCATGGTGGCGGGCACCTGTAGTCCCAGCCACTTGGGAGGCTGAGGCAGGAGAATGGCGTGAACCCAGGAGGCCGAGCATGCAGTGAGCAAGATCATGCCACTGCACTCCATCCTGGGCAAGAGAGCAAGACTCTGCCTCTAAATAAATAAATAAATAAATAAATAAATAAATAAATAATATATGTTTATATTGAAGAAAAGATAGAATAGCCATGAAATATGAAAATTTTGCCTTAGCAGTCTTCACCTTGAAGTATTATAGTAAGCTTAGAGTCACTGGTCTATTTGAAACTCTAGAATTGTTTCTTGAAAGATTTTATAATAAAATTGTATACACATACATATACATGTGTATATGTGTGTATGTGTGTGTGTGTGTGTGTTTTCCAAGGCTGATAATGCCAGTGCCCAAGTATTGGTATCTATTCTGTAGTTGTGAGAGTTATTGGTTATTTAGTTTTTAACACTGCATAAATGTACTAGAACATTAAGATGCCGGTCCAGGTCAATGGAAGTGTTCTTTCAATTTCCTTTCACCTTAAAATCTAAGCTTCTGAGGATGTTGGAATGCTCAGGTCAAAGGATTAGAAATCATCATAATAATAATTTGTCCTGGGAACTTACTTTGATTTGAAAAAATATATTTTGGCAATCAAAAATAAAAAAGCTCATAAATGCATAGACAGGACTGGAATGACTTTTAGTGATATGTTAATAACTTATTTTGTTTGGCCAGCTTATCGGTATTTTAATTTTTTTATTTTTGGTTACCTGAATTGCTTAGATTTTATGCAATAATTATATATTACTCTTATCCTGCTTTTTTATCCTTGTAGTTCTCAACTCTTTGGAGCTGCATTTTTTTGTGAGTTTGATTTTGAGTTTTTTCTTTTTTTATTTCTGGAATATTCTCAGACATTTTTTCTAATATTTCTTATGCCCATTTTCTCTTTATTCCTTTTCTGGGATTCCAATTACAATTTGATTTTTCTCATAATTTTGTTCCGTTCTGACTCTGCTCCCCTCCCCCGCCCACATAGACACACAGTTTTTTCTTTGTATTTTAGTGTGAATAATATTTACTGCCCTATTTTTGAATTCACTGATTCATCTGTGTTAGCCTATTGATGAACTCACTGAAGAAATTCTTCATCTTTTTATCTTTTTAGAAAGATATTTCTAGCATTTCTATTAGATTATTTCTTATTTCCACCACTCTACTGAATTTCTCCATCGCTTCAGGCATGTTTGTGCTTTCTGCTATTTTGCAATGTATTAATCAGAGTTGAATCAGAGTTCCTGTCTGACAGTTCCAATATCTGGGTTATCTCTATCTGGCTCTGTTACTTCATTTCTTGAAAATGGTTGTTTTATATTTTGTAGGCTTTTTGTGTCCTACTTGATTGAATGCCAGACATGGTGTGGAAGAACAGTAAGAAGTGAGGTAAATAGAGTTTATGCCTGTAAATGGACATTACAGACATTTACTCTGTTAAGTAAAGCTATTCAGGAATTATTTGGATTTTGCTGTTGCAATTATTACTTCCACTGTGCCAAAAGCTTCAAAAATTCTTTTATTGGTGGAATGGTGTCAACTCAGTCTTAGAATAGAGGCCTGCGTGCTGTAGGGTTTTCTCAGTCTTCTTACTCAGTCCTCAGCTCTCAGTGCTCTCTATATGCTTGTGCCACAGAAGAGGTTTCTGCCCACACTCTGATCTGTCCCACAGTGTTAGACTGCTCCTCCTTGCTGCTGGGTTCCACTCTTATAAGGAAGAGGTGGGTCATGGAATAGGGGTTCCTCTGTTCTCCTTGTACAGCCTGCATGTGTAAGCCTTGGTATGGGCTTTCTCAAGATTTTTTCCCCCTCTTTCTTATGGCATCATGGCAGCCATCCTCTGCTTCACATTTACAGGGGGTCTTGGGTGCAAGAGAATTTTCTGCCCCTTCTCAATCCATAGTAGACCTCTACTTTGTATTGGTGCAAGATCTTACACCTGAGAGGACTTCCTGCTCCTCCCCCAGGGGTAGGGGATTTTTGCTTATACCTCTTTTCCAGAAGCAGTAGACCTTTGCCTGAGCACCAGGGATGGGCACACTTCCTCCTCCTCCCTCTAATACTTACGGCCCTTGTTTCATCTGAGATAAAGGTCTGGGGAATTGCACAAGGGTTGCTGCCTGTGCACCAGCCTTGCTGATTTGTTCCTATTCTTACACCATGAAGGAATATTCTCTTGTGTCCTGCCTTGTCCCCCAATCTATCTTACAGAAATCTACGCAAAGAAGTTTTCAAATGAGGGGAGACTCCCCTTGTGTTTGTGGGTGTCTATAATTCTAACCTTATTTATTACAATTTTAGCTGTTTTGTTTTGTTTTGTTTTTTGTAGAGACATGGTCTCACTTTATTGCCCAGGCTGCTGTCAAACTCCTGAGCTCAAGTAATCATCCCACCTCAGCCTCCCAATGTGTTGAGATTACAGGCATAAGCCACCGTGCCCAGCCTATGGCAGCCACTTTTAACCTTTTCTGCCAAAGGTGAAACAATGTATGGTCACATCTCACCATGAAATTATCCTAATTGTCACTCAATGGAATTTGGTTTTTTTTGCTCACATTGTGACTTCAGCTCAAGGAAATTTATGATTTTAGTATAACCTGGCACTTTTTTGTCATTTTGTTGTTGCTGTTAATAGCCATATTCTCTTGTGGCTTTCTGCATTCTACACAAAACAGAACACACTACTTTAAAATATAGTTTAATTAAAATTTAAAAATAAGCAAATACATTTTAGCTTGTTTATCTGTCTTATATCCAGCCTATTTAAAAACAGTATGTCCAAATCGTAAGAGAAAGATGGAGAAGGCAGAAAAAGACTTTATACACTGCCTTTAAACCACAATGTTTAAAAACACACTTAGACCTTAAACGGTATCTGATTAACAGGCTCTGATAAAGCCTCTTTCAATGTTCTAAGTAAAAAACTATACATATAAATTCAAAATACTGAAAATCCAAATCAATGGAATACTAATTATTAGAATCTAGTTAAACAGTTATGAAACTGTGAAAAGAAAATAGTTGATGATCTAACCATGATTTGCTTGATTAAGCAGAAAAATCTTATACAGTGTAATGAATGTAGGTAGATATGTTAACCACTGCCCACTCTGTACGCCTAAATTGTGTACCTACAAAGGAAATAGACAGTTGTCCCTCTACTGTCTAGAGTACAATCTCCTGCTCACCCTTTACTTATTTCTACATTCATATGTACATTGCAGTATCAAAATCATCATCATCAAGGTAATCAGTCACGAAGGTGAGATGCAGGGTAGATTGTTGATTATGTATTTATTAATTATATGCTGAATAACACAACATTAGGCCCCATATCCATCAATGGAGGCAGAAATACATGTTTGCATGTGCTTGAGAAAATAATAAGACATGACATTGGTTTAGCAACTTATCTCATTTCAGGATAACATAGCAGTAATCAATTCATGTTGGCTACATCCTGGGAAGGGACCTGTATACCCTTCCCTTAGAATTACAAAAGGTTTGCATATAGTAACTGAGTACACTGTAGATGAAAATGACGAGAAAAAAAAAAAAAACACATTTCTGTGTTGATGCTGGATTTGGGCAGATCTATCTCTTTTTTAGGATAAGTAAGCAGTGGAAAAACGGGATCAGCAATAAATACTAAAAAACAAAATAAATATGGAAAATCAGGAGATAATAACCTGATGACCCAGAGGGAGAATATATAACTCTGGAAATTTTCTCCTACAGAAACCATTGGAAAACAGTTTAACATTTTTAGTAGAAAACAGAATGGTATGGATTGGTGAAATGGTGTGTGTGTTTTACATGGCTTGAGTCCTTCTCCTGTTTCTGGTAAAAGAATTCCACTTTCTCTCGTGAGAATTGTCCCTTTCCTACACGGTGGTAGTCTTTAATCTAAAGTGCCTTCCCCTCAGTCCAACTGGAGTATAGCAGTCAACCCTCTTCTGTGGTTTTGCTTTCTTCAGTTTCAGTTACCAATGGTACAATACAATAAGATATTGACAGAGACAGAGAGAAACCACATTTGCATAACTTTTATTACACTATAGTTCTATAATTGTTCTATTTTGTTATTAGTTATTGTTGTTAATATCTTACTGTGCCTAATTTATAAATTAAATTTTATCTCCTAAAATCAATTGAGCACCTGGATTCAACCTTTCCTGAAATGAGAAGGCATGTGAAAATTAAATTGACAACATGAAGTGTATCCATTGAAAATTTATGCAATATTAAGAAAAAGGAAAAAACATATAAATAATAAAAGAGATCAAAATATATTTATAGGACGATTAAAATACAACCTGATAATGACAGTTATTTCTGAGGTTAAAATTGTAGTATTTATAACAGAAGCAAAAAATCGAAAAAAGAATTCAAGAGTTTATTATATTACAGGCAAAAATCAATGAAAAGGTAGCCATGTTTCTTTGAATAGTATCTGAATATGTTTAAAAATCACTGAAACAGAAATAAAAATATCTTACTCATAAAGGAACAAAAATTAGGTAAGCCCTGCATATCTCATTTGCATGATAAAATGACAAAAGGCAATGGAAGCAATTTTGCTGTTTTGTAAGGGATAATGTTATGACTCAAGAATTTTTACCCAGACAAGTTGTTTTAAATACACAAAGTAAAGAAAGATAGTCTAGATCAGGTGTGGGTTCAAAAGTGATCCATCCTTCTAGTAAAAAATTGTTTATGACATCACATTGATAAGTGAAAATAAGTATCTAAGTAATAGGGCTCTTGCAGTGTAAAAAGACTAACAAATCTTACTTTAGAGAGTTTGGATATGAAATCCAGGAATCCAATAGAATTTTGATCTGTCAACTGAACTCCACATTGTAGGGGTATATTCTTCCCTTAAATTAATGATCCTCTTCTGGATCTGATTCTTCCTTGTTCTAATAATATAGTTCCTGTGAAGCAATTCTTGATCTATGCATCATTTAGAATCTCTTCCTTTATCTAATAAACAATTCAAACAAGAAGTTTCACTATTCTATTTCTAGTAATCATAAAAATGGCTAAATTTTTATTTTCTTTTAACGTGTAACAATGAGCTTGGAAAATTGCTATAAAAAGTACATTTTTAATCTATAAAAGCGTATCTGTTTAAAAAAAGCAAAAAAGCATTCTAATTGCCACATGTGTGATATGAATTAGTTTATGAGTTACATATGTGATGGAATTCATATGTGATACCAGGCACTTCTATTTTTAAGCAATGAACAGTGTGTTAACGGGATTTAAAATCAGCATGGTCACTCTGAATATTAAAATTAAATGTCTCAAAAGGGCATAAAATAGACTGAAAAAAGTACACAAGCATGGCATTGATTATATTTTGATAATGAAATTTAGGGCCATTTTAATTTTTTCTTTTGCATTTTTTTGTGTTTTCTGTATTTTTCAACATAAGCACTTTATATATGCAGTATACTCAAGTATATAAAATATTTAATATCACCCCTCCAAAAAAATATTAGACTTAAATATACCAAGATGTTAGAAGTGATTATGACTGTCTGTAGATCATGGGACTATGAGTAATTGTGTTTTTCTTGAACTATTTTTGTTTTCCAATATTCTATAGTAAGACGTTTGACCTTTATGGTGTTGTTGTATTAAGAACACAGTTGCTGCATCAATATGTAGAGCTTATAAGGGACTGTTCAAAAGTTCCCAAGGAATTGTTTAAAAAATCACCTGCTAATTATGATATTAAATACATAACAAATTTTTTCAATCTCATAAGATTAGGAATAATTATTCCTTGATTCTCTTCCAAAATTCAAGACTCATAGTTGGAATTGCATTATTTAGAGGAAGGAATTACATTGACTACCACTTCCTGTCATTCTTACAACACTGATATACTACTCGCATCATTTATTTAGTCTTTTTTTCCTAGGCAGAAGGGTCTTTTAAATGTCTTCACCATTTGACCATAAAACATTCTTTTGGTTTGAAACTTGAGAATGTTTACTTTTAAGATGGTGTTATGGCAAACAAATACAGAGTTTGAGTCTGAAATCTTAGTTTGGTGCCTCAGATTTGTTTTTATAACTGTATAGCTTTTTGGCCTGCAATAAATCAGTATTGTAATGTTTGATCTTTACAGGGTTATCCTGAAGGTTACAGGACCCAAGGAGATAAAATGCATAAATATAAACTATGGTATATAATTTAGGATATTATATTTTATTCCATCTAAAATGTTGTTAAATTATTTTGACACAGTAATATTAAGCTTAATGATACTGATAATTAGATTTTTTAAGTCTATAAGCAGATCAAGAGCTGTGTTTTAAAATATTTTTGATATTTCTATACAGATGTGTAATTACTCCTCTTCTTTATTGCTTATGCTTTTTATATATGCTTTTCTTATTATTCATGAGACTTCTGACTCAGCTTGTGTTTCAATTAGAGAAAATATTGAAAGATCTTACAAAAAGATTTTATTTTTAAAATGCTCTTTCTCTGCTAGCATCATTAATTTTACTATTTATCTAACAATAAAGATTTTTGGATGGCAAACTACTTGATATCAATAAAGACTTTCAGCCGTATTATGGGGAAGGAGGACGCATTCTGGAGATCCGGACTCCAGAGGCAGTGACCAGCATTAAAAAGAGAGGAGAAAGTCTAGGATACACAGAAGGGGCCTTGTTGGCTCTGGCCTTCATCATCATCCTCTGCTGCATTCCTGCCATCTTGGTGGTTTTGGTCAGCTACAGACAGTAAGTATTCAAGGATGGTAAACCTGGATAGTTCCTCAGAAGTCATTGCAGAAAACCATCTCTGGTAACATGGCTTTGCGTTGTAAAATATTGATGGTGCAACTACTCTGAGATTGCTTTATCTGTCTGTCTATCTCGTACCAAATGATTTTCTTCAAAAGGAAAACAGTACAAACTCCCAGTACATTTTTCACTGATGGCCCAATATTCCTGTGATTCTAATTCGGTCTCTTTCAATAGAAATATCACCTTAGTTCCTGTGGCTTTGTTTATGCTCTTCTTTTGTTTAAGAGCCAACTTGGGAGAGAAGGTAACAGGTATCCTGGGGTAAAAGCAATGGAATGTCATATGCGGATACCCACTCTGCCCAGCTCCAAAGGAAGGTCAATAACTTCGCGACATTGTCATGATAGGTTTTTATCCAAACTGTTAAATTTGCCTTTGTGCAAATGATCACAGTGTTAGCAAAAGCATTGTAAAATCATAGCATGTAAGATGTAATTTTCTATGTGGTTTCTTCCTTCCTGGGTGCTTTGCCAGAGTTTTTAGTGTACTATTTGACAGCATGTTCTGGCTGTGCAGGCTCTTAATTTTTCTGGTTCCTGCAGTCAAGTGCATCCATTGACAATATCCATATTTTAAAATTGTATTTAACTTATCTAGAGTAGTCAAGTAATTATCACTAATTTAAACATCCATATTTGAAGTAGGTTAGTAATATATTCTTTGACACTAGGTCTGGGGAAGCTTTGTGATAGAGAGCCACACATTTTAAGTATATTTCTATAGACAATGACTTGAAAAAATTGGGGAGCTGATTAAGAAGAGAAGTAGCCCTGAGTGTGCCACAAAAAGAAAATAAATAGCAGACAGTAATAATAAATCATGTAAATTACTTTATGTAATAAACAATAAGAAATAATGGTAGAACTGCTATTCATCATTTAAACTACCTACAGAGGAAATACTAAAATAGTTCTTATGTATTCTTTACTTTTTTTTTTTTTTTCCTGGAGACGGAGTCTGGCTCTGTCGCCCAGGCTGGAGTGCAGTGGTGTGATCTCAGCTCACTGCAACCTCTGCCTCCAAGGTTCAAGCTGTTCTCCTGTGTCAGCCTCCTGAGTAGCTGGGATTACAGGCATGCGCCACCACACCTGGCTAATTTTTGTATTTTTAGTAGAGACGGGGTTTCACCATGTTGGTCAGGCTGGTCTCAAACTCCTAACTTCGTGATCCGCCCACCTCAGCCTCCCAAAGTGCTGGGATTACAGGTGTGAGCCACCGCGCCCAGCCAATAGTCCTTATGTATTCTTAAACTGTCATCTTTGTTCTCAAATACTTAAAATTTTCTTGTGAATTGAATAAGGTAAGGTAATTCCAACCTGAAAATCCAAATGTATGCTCTGAATGAACTTTGCTATGAATGGAAACTAAAAAGCAAATATGAAAAAAAGTATCATGAATTCGTTACACAGAAGTAGGACCTTCCAATTCTAGCTCCGTTTTCAAAGTGAGGCCAAGAGTATAACTAGGGCTTGCTGCATGACTCCATTCCTTTAATATTTTTCAAGCAGGTCATTACTTTTCAAGTAATTCCAACCTGAAACTACAGAAATATTTTCTACCTCAAAAGCAATGTGAAGTTGCAAATACAGCATTAAGGTTGATATACTGGAGCTTAATGTGTCCTTAACCAATCAATTGATATGCTAAATCTAAAGCTGATGAACAAAATTGATACTGAACAAATTGTTTTAAATTATTAAGCCATCAACCCATTATTAATTATAATGTTAAATCCATTCCGTATTACCAGTTATCTTTTTACACTTAACTATTTTCCAAAGGAGCTTTATTATATCCTGCTAGCAAGCAAATCAGTGAGAAAAATTCTTGTATTTGGCACAGTATGCAATGATCAAAACTGAAGCGCTCTGGATGTTATACAAGGTAGTCTGAAATACAACAAATACTTGAGATGTTTAATATTTAAATAATTTATAGACGCATTATTTAATTCTCCTTTAGTTTGATAATCAGCTCAATACCATATGAATTTAGTTACTGCTTTTTATAGATTAACATAATTAAACAAAATGAGTTTTTCTCTGCTCACATAGCAAAGTAAAATTCTAATATTTAAAGACCTAACATTTGTACCTTGATATTTGCTTGCAAATAAGGTAAGAATGAATAGCTATCCTTTTATATAATGATATGCCTTTGAACTTTTCTATGAATGGAAACTAAAAAGCAAATATGTAAAAACTGTCATAAATTTATTACCCAAGAGTAGGACCTTCCAATTGTAGCTTCAGCTTCAAAGTGAAGCCAAGAGTATAATCAGGGCTTGCTACCTCTCTCCATTCCTGTAATATTCTTCAAGCAGGGTAAACCAAGAAGCCAATTATAAAGGTCAGGTCATCTTTAATATTCCATTTTTCCACTAGAGTTGAAATTCTCACATTTACATTTTAATCCAGTTTTCTTATTCTATGTAGTTCATTTCTTTATTTTTCTGTTATGGATATTTTAATGGCTTGAATGACTCTAACGGTAACGATACTATTTTCACCTTTTGAATTGATATCCTTAGTTTTCTTAGTCTGTCATTAACTCTGTCATTATGAATTTAACGTATAAATTATTCATGATTTAGAATAAATCAGATGTTAAAATGTTATTAATGCAATAGTTCTAATGTAGCTTTCTATTTTTCTTACTCTTGCTTTCCCAAACAGGTTTAAAGTGTAAGTATAATTAACATTTTACACATCCTTTTCATGTAATAGGAAAAGAGAAACCCGAGATTATATCAATCAAGTCAGCCTGCTCAGAACCACATCTTATTCCCTTGTTTTGCGTTTGTAATAGTTTATTTCTTGGTTTGATATATATAGAATTGAGCTGATTTTAGACAATTGGACGTAACTTGCACAAATGTGAAAAAGATAGTTTGCCTATAGCTTCCATCCTGTAACATCTTGGTTTTGAGGAAGAAATTAATCAGTGTCCAGGAAATCCAAAAACAGCAGTGTAGCTGTAACATGAGAATCACAGGCATTCCTAGGAATTTTTTTTTTTTTTTTTTTTTTTTTTTTTTTTTTGAGACGGACTTTTTGCTCTTGTTGGCCAGGATGGAGTGCAATGGCGTGATCTGGGCTCACTGCAACCTCCGCCTCCCGGGTTCAAGCGATTCTCCTGCCTCAGCCTCCCCAGTAGCTGGGATCACAGGCATGAGCCACCGTGCCCGGCCTAGGCATTCCTAGGAATCTTAAAGGATATACAAGCTAACCAAATTTCCCTTGTACATGTGTGTACAGCCTCTGTGAAATAACGTCAAAAATGTTTCAAATCATTTCAAATAACTTTAAAAGACAAATAATAAAGAAAAATTATCTATCTTATCTTTAATATGCCTCATCTTATGAAAGAGATTCATTAAACTACCAATTAATTATCCATCCCATTTTAATTAAAATTTTGCTTTCTCTAAGATTATCATTTAATTTAATTTGCAAATATGTCTGCTGAATTCTACCCCTTATTCAAGAGATAGCTATTTTCAAGAACAAAGCAGGGATTATATGCAAATGATACCCTGTGGGGATGCTTTTGTAATTACATCTGTTTATAAATTGATGTTTGTGTAAAATAATTTTAGTGGGTTCCCCTGATAACTGGACCCCATTATTAAAAGGTGGCTTATTGATAAGCATTATGATTTCTAAAATGAGTTTTACAAGCCATCCTTACTTTATCCAAGACGTCAAGCTGAGTGTACAAAGACTGCACGAATTCAGGCCGCATTACCCGCGGCTAAACCAGCAGTGCCGGCTCCTGCACCAGTGGCAGCGCCCCCGCCGCCGCCGCCGCCTCCGCCAGGTGCGCATCTCTATGAAGAACTTGGAGACAGCTCAATGTAAGTAGACCGTTCAGGAACTCTGAGAAGTAGTTGGGTTTTACTGAATTCTGTGTGGTGAGTATTTAATTTCAATCTGATGTGGAAATGCCTACATGGACTATTTATTTTATTCTATTATTTTCAAGAGAAAATTTGTTAAGACGAAAATCTAAGAAAGGTTAAGTTGAAAAATAATAGCCAAAACCAAACCAGAAATTAAAGAAAGCTAAGAGAAAAGCAGAATTCAACTTCAGGAGACAATTGCACATTTATAGCTTGAGTATAATATTTAATATCTCAATCCTCAGGGTCATGCATTTTTACATATATATAATGTATATGTATATATGTATAAATATATAAATAGATTCTGAAAAATATATTTTTGCATAGGAGACGAGAGAAATAAAGCACAATCATAAAATAGTAATCCTGATTAGGTATCCAAACCGATCCCTATTTGGTAATCAAAACCAAATTCTCTGGTTTAAAATCGTAGTATTTTCTGAGATACTACTTTTAGGACGTTATATGATATAGAAATTAAAATCTCAATGAAATTACAGAATTTCTATATTAAATTCCCAACTACTTAGAAAATGCTTTTTTCACTTTATTACTCTCAGACTGCGGTGATTACCGAATATTTCTCCTGCACGATTTGAAACTTGTAGTCACTATTTAAAAAATCATACATTTTTGAAAGACACTGGTAACTGTTAAAAGACCTCACAGTTGCTTGTATAATGATGCTACCCTCATAATTGGATTCCTTATGGTGATGTTCAGTTTGTCAGTATTTTAAAAATTCAAGAATAACTGCTTTTGGACATGATATGTAAAACAACCAAGAATATTTTACAATTTTGAATATGACAATTAAATCCAGAAAACCTTTTATTAACTGGAATTTGATGGAGTAGAAGGACTATAACATGTTATTACATGTGACATCCGTATCAGTTACTAGTAGCAATAAGAAAAGCCTAAAAAATCATGAAATTGACCTGGTAATGGAAAAGCTGGTTTTAAACAAATGTGTTCAGGTTACTTACCATATTAATAATGTTATACAAGGTTTTGTTTAGGATAGTCGTATTAATGTTAAAATTGATCTTAATGCTATTATTTTAACACAAAATCTGAATTTATAATAGGTTAAAGCATGACATTCTATTTCCAAAATAAGGACATAATACAGGGTTCATGCTTTAGATATATGCTTTCACCTTTTTTGTAAGTTGAAAAATGATTGTTTCTTTTGTAATTAATTATTGGTGAATGTAGGAATTGAGCCAATATGATTTGATTCTATTTGAGTATGTTAATGACCTCTCTCAAGCAAAGATCTTTAGAAACTAAAAAAAAGGATTATGTGTAAAGTTGTGTGTTTATATATGAAATTAATGAATTATGTATTCATTTTAAATTAATAAGAACAGGTATACTATAACATCATCTGGAATCAGCATAGTTTGATGACAGTAATTTTCAAATAGCAATACCTAAGATTATTTTTACTTGAACAATTGTAGTAGACTCAGTAGATTTTGCAATTGTAATATATGTATTCATTGAAATAGTTTAAGTAAGTTCTACATATTTAATTATCTTATCTTTAGTAAATGTTTAACCTATCTATCTATTCAAGAACTTTTTACAGGAATTCTAAGCATTAAGTTACTAGAAAATGAATTAGTTTTAAATGATTATTATCAATTATCTTAAAAAGAACAAAGTCAAAGATCATTTTGGAAAAACTACTTCACAAAGTAATAACTTCGTATGATAACTTCCTATGAATGCTATAATTACTTTGTAATTAATTGTCATCATAGTAGTTGTATATTTACTTTCTTCCAAACAAAATATATCTACTTTAAAAGTCAGTGTGCATTAACCAGTTTTACAGAGTTAAGACATCATAGAAGCAATTTTTAAACTCTCATTTAAAATTTTTATTTTAGGATTGGCATCATCCAGGTTTAATAGAAGTGAATTTTTATCTATGTATAGTAAACAGACTTTATTAGATACAATTTTCTGTGAAAAGACATTCAAATAATGTCATTTGATTTCATCTACTATTAAATGTCATTCATATGAATAATAACAAAATATAAAAACATGCCTTTTTTTTGATATACGTACTAAGTGTTTGTTTAAAGCAAGTTCCTGCTCATATTTTCAGAATTGTTTTAAATTAACTCTAGTAAAAACTTCTTTTTTTCTATCACATGTTTTCTGTTTCTCACCTGTGGATACATAGGCATAAGTAAGTAAATAATATCACTCTAATAGAAGAGCGTTAGAAAAATAGATACAATAGAACAGATTAAAATGCTGTTGTACTGTAAATACAGTGATCTTCATCTTTTGCCACAGACTCACTTACTGTTAAAAGGAAAGTTTTGTCTTCCACACCCAATTTCCTTTTGATGGCATGAGCTTAAAACATGTGTTCGCTGTGATGGTACCTGTGCCTACT
The DNA here is from genome assembly GCF_000001405.40 of Homo sapiens. Taxonomy (NCBI): domain Eukaryota; kingdom Metazoa; phylum Chordata; class Mammalia; order Primates; family Hominidae; genus Homo; species Homo sapiens. The sequence continues at coordinate 53,824,922 of NC_000010.11, read as the reverse complement.
GAAAGGAATTTCAAAATTCTCCTTGTTTTTAATTTTTTTAAATTAGTTTTTAAAAATTCTTAAATTTTAAGAACTTAAAATTTACAAATCTATAAATAGAAACCTATTTATAGATTTCTTTTAGTCAAAGTGATGTGATATTGTTATATCCATTGGGTGCTTTACCAAGAGAAATCAAACCACGAACAAATGTTTGTTTACAAAAACAACCAGTATATAATATCAATCCCAGTTGTTCGTGCCATATTTGAAAAATACTTTTCAAGATTCGAAGAGTAAAAGTGTTTGTTTGCACTCTGATTAGTCCAGATTGTCTGAATTTTCTTTGTTGTCCAAGTAGGCTTGATGCTCCAGGTCTACCTGTGTGAATTGTTTCTTTCTCTTTCTTATAGTTCGTATCTTTGCCAAAAGACACATTAACAACTGTGGCTTTATTATTTTGTTGCCTAAACTATCACCCTAATTTTTCAATATGGCTAGTTAATTTCTATTCAGAATATTTCTTTTTTATTTCATTCCTGCTAAGTGGGTAAATATTAAGCAGTAACTAAAATAAATGTTATTCTGTTTTGGCTTGAGAGTAAAAGCTAATGAGAATTCGGAACCACCTATCAATCAGCCAACAATCCTGGGAGAAGGGTCCAAATGCTTTCCTTAGAGCCATTTAATTTGTGATCTTTGATGTATGCAACTTTATTTATGACTCACAACTACCTATGATTCAGTTTCCGTGCATAAGTAAGCCTTTCAGTGATATCAAAAAGTGATTTTTTTTTTTAGCATCAATCTTTTTGTTAAGGTGAGTTTTAAGTAAAATTTGATCCAGATCAGTCTAAGAAATTACTGACAACATCTTTTCTGATTGGTACTATTTATAAGGTTTTAAAACAATTTTTCCTGATTGGTATTATGTATAAGGTTTTAAAACTAATTAAGCACAAAATTTAAACAGAAGAAAAACTCCTCTGTCACAATTCTAGCATACATTCAATTTCTCAATTGTGATTTTTGGGCTGTGAGACAAACTCCCATCTGTCCTTGGTGATTTTAATTCTCTTAATTTGGAGAACAGGATATTCCACATGATGGCTCAGAGAGGAGATTACTTTTGGCTCTAGGACAGAAGTACTGAATCAGATACAGCTAAGAATCTTCTATGCGTAACAGGCAGCCCTGAGCATCCTCAGGCAAGGATGGTGTTCTGCAATGGGAAGAACTGTGATTTGTGCATAAGGGAACTGTTACGTGTGGACATGGATGCTTTGCTGTATCACACTAGCTGAAAAAAAACAAAAACAAAAAATACTCTCTTCCAAAATAATCTAGAGATGAGTACTTTTTTTTTCATTTACATTTCTCATTCTTCTCACAACTCTAAGATTTTTCTGCCCTGCCTTTCTAAGAGCAGGGAATTAAAATAATGTCTTGCTTTAGTAGGTTAGTGTTGTTTGGCCTTTGATGTTTTTAAGTATTTAATAGTAATGAGAGCCATAAAAACATCTTTCTCATGAAAGCTGTGTCACAACTTGTTTCCTTACATTTCATTATCTTCTTTTCTTTCAAGTCTTTTCCTTCTCTACCATTTTCAACAAAGCAGGGGAAATAACTCAGTCTCAGAAGACAGGAAACATCAACAAGTTGTGATGCCCTTTTCTTCCAATACTATTGAGGCTCACAAGTCAGCTCATGTAGACGGATCACTTAAGAGCAACAAACTGAAGTCTGCAAGAAAATTCACATTTCTATCTGATGAGGATGACTTAAGTGCCCATAATCCCCTTTATAAGGAAAACATAAGTCAAGTATCAACAAATTCAGACATTTCACAGAGAACAGATTTTGTAGACCCATTTTCACCCAAAATACAAGCCAAGAGTAAGTCTCTGAGGGGCCCAAGAGAAAAGATTCAGAGGCTGTGGAGTCAGTCAGTCAGCTTACCCAGGAGGCTGATGAGGAAAGTTCCAAATAGACCAGAGATCATAGATCTGCAGCAGTGGCAAGGCACCAGGCAGAAAGCTGAAAATGAAAACACTGGAATCTGTACAAACAAAAGAGGTAGCAGCAATCCATTGCTTACAACTGAAGAGGCAAATTTGACAGAGAAAGAGGAAATAAGGCAAGGTGAAACACTGATGATAGAAGGAACAGAACAGTTGAAATCTCTCTCTTCAGACTCTTCATTTTGCTTTCCCAGGCCTCACTTCTCATTCTCCACTTTGCCAACTGTTTCAAGAACTGTGGAACTCAAATCAGAACCTAATGTCATCAGTTCTCCTGCTGAGTGTTCCTTGGAACTTTCTCCTTCAAGGCCTTGTGTTTTACATTCTTCACTCTCTAGGAGAGAGACACCTATTTGTATGTTACCTATTGAAACCGAAAGAAATATTTTTGAAAATTTTGCCCATCCACCAAACATCTCTCCTTCTGCCTGTCCCCTTCCCCCTCCTCCTCCTATTTCTCCTCCTTCTCCTCCTCCTGCTCCTGCTCCTCTTGCTCCTCCTCCTGACATTTCTCCTTTTTCTCTTTTTTGTCCTCCTCCCTCTCCTCCTTCTATCCCTCTTCCTCTTCCTCCTCCTACATTTTTTCCACTTTCCGTTTCAACGTCTGGTCCCCCAACACCACCTCTTCTACCTCCATTTCCAACTCCTCTTCCTCCACCACCTCCTTCTATTCCTTGCCCTCCACCTCCTTCAGCTTCATTTCTGTCCACAGAGTGTGTCTGTATAACAGGTGTTAAATGCACGACCAACTTGATGCCTGCCGAGAAAATTAAGTCCTCTATGACACAGCTATCAACAACGACAGTGTGTAAAACAGACCCTCAGAGAGAACCAAAAGGCATCCTCAGACACGTTAAAAACTTAGCAGAACTTGAAAAATCAGTAGCTAACATGTACAGTCAAATAGAAAAAAACTATCTACGCACAAATGTTTCAGAACTTCAAACTATGTGCCCTTCAGAAGTAACAAATATGGAAATCACATCTGAACAAAACAAGGGGAGTTTGAACAATATTGTCGAGGGAACTGAAAAACAATCTCACAGTCAATCTACTTCACTGTAATGTTGCTTTTCTTATTTTAGTCGGGCAAACCTCTTGTTGATCATAGTCTTCAAGTTGAACATCAAATTTGAACGTCAAAGAAGACTCTATTATTTTACCCCAAATTCAATGAAATGCAGTTTTTTTTCTCGTTTTTAATTTAAAAAGATATTAACCTCATCACTACTAACTCACTCATATAATAGATTTACCTTACTTTTTAAAAACTACAAAGTAGCATAATTTGTTCTACATTTATTTGAAAAGTAAGTAATTTTAATCTCTTTTTTAGTGGGAATATGTGGGCATGAAAATTAGATACCCAACTTAAACCAAAGGCATGTCTATCATGTGGATGCAGTAACATTTACATTTAGTTTTTGATCGTAGTTTTATATGAATGTTCCAAGAAAAAAGCAGACTGTTACAAATAAGTTAAAACTGATATGATTGATAGGTTCTGTTTTTTCTTGAAGCCTATGTATTTGGTAAGAAGAAATACTACCGAAGTAAAATATAATGTACCTAGATTGTAGGAGATGACAGACATAAGGTATTTCAAAATAAATCTCAGGTGCTATAACATGTAGTCATCTGTTTTCTGATAAGAACATCTTTTACTCTGACTTGCTTTTATCTTAGTAGTATGCTTATGGATTTAGTAGTATGCTTATGGATTTGATAAATCTTATACTTTTTCAGTTGCTGTCTTATTCTCTTTATTTCTCATTGTGCTTTCCCTTCCCTTCTTTATAATGAAAATAAATCTTGAGTCGTTGACTTTTGTAAGGCATTTCATTGTTCCAACAGATGCTTAAAAAGTGCTGTTTAATTTTGTTTGTTCATATTATTAATCATCTCCCTAATTTAAATTTTTTCATAAGATTCCTTTTTAAAGAAAGTATGATCTTCAGTTTAATAAATGAAATATAAAAAGCTTAAATAGAAAAACCAAGAGAAGTGATATTTGCTGAACTATCAATCACTCTTTTACCTAGGTTTCTGCTCTTTGTTTTAAACAAAGAAAATAAAACTGTATACTCTGGGAAGAGATTTCTGTAGTTGTAGTAATAGTTCTTAGCGCTCCAATTGTTAAATTCGAACAGCATCACTTAAGCTAGATACTATCTATGTCCCTTCCTTCCTAAGGAAACTATACTTTCAATATTAGTATATAATGTATAATATGTGACCATCAAGTAATTACTTTGTTTTTCCCATGAAACACATGGAATAGGTTTTATTTACTGGAAGTTCACATTTTGAATGCACATGTAAGTGTTTAAAACAAATACTTATAAAACACTCTGGAGTTTTAAGATTTTAGAAGATATAAGTTTGCATGGAGAAGGGTACAATTCTAAAATACAGGCAAAACTCATACCTGATAATTACTATTGGAAGTATATGAATATAAGTTGAGAGCCCCCTTCAATGCGTTATTTCAGAGGTTTTCTTCATCCCTCATATTTCTTCAATAATTTGACCTGGCATTCCTAGTTACCAAGATCAGACAGAAAACAATCTGTAAATCTGATTATTTTTATTAGCCCATCTGCTTCAAAATCTTTTCATCGAAATCAAGAGTAATTACTTTCTTGGGGTTCTTGAACGTGATTTTTTTCTTTCTTTCACTGAAAAACTTCAGTTGGAGTTTTTGTTGGCAGCTGGTCATATGCATGAGAACTTGTGCTATTTGGCGGACTCTGACAAGGTATTCACAATTGTGTAAGCCTTTAATGTGAGTGTGTCTTTTCTAAGCTAATATCTACACCAGCTTTTTGCAAATGTAAAATTTATAATTTCTTGATAAATCTATAAATAGTAACAAAAGAAATAAGAGAAGTCCAAAAAACATATTTGTGTAGGTACCTACAGCCCTATTAAATTGTTATATTGCCTTTTTCTATAACATTTTACTATTTACATAATCTGAAAGTTTTGTTATTATTCTGTACTTTTTAATTGAAACATAGATACCTGTGTTTTATATTTAAGCCAGTCTTTTTCTGACACATTGTATTTGGAGATTCCTAATGTCATTATGATACATTATAAAAGTCAGTTAAAATATCTTCTATATGAGACCTTTTAGTATTATTTGAGTACACAAGCCTAAATATTCTTCCTCCTCTCAAACCCTAACTGCTTACAACCTGACAACCAGAGAGGAGAAAAGTAACACTTTTTTCTCAATATTTATTATGATCTCATTAATGCATAAGAAATTATTAGATACCTTTTAAATAAAGACTTAAGAAAGATGACCAAACATTTGTCCTTATTGTTAAAAGTAAACAGTGATACATATACATGATATAAAATAAATAATACAATTGATTATGAATTGCATAAAGAGGTGCATCGATATTATATGAACTGGCTTTATAAGTATCAATAGTCATGTTTTGAAAGCACACAGGTAAAGTAGTAGTTCTGTTATGTACCTCTTTCAAGTAACTTTCTGCCTTTGAGCCAAGACAAGCAATACAAATAACCAAATAAAAGGCAACAAAAATGTGAATGGAAACATTAACATTGAGTTATAGTTTATCTATTGATATTTTATTTTTCACATTGATGGAAAACATTGCTAATAAAAGGAGTCAGAAGAAATCGTCTAAAAAATAAAGCCTGGCTTTGGTTGGATATTTTATAAGGTATATGACTCAGTTGTCATTGTTTAAACCTAAATATGAGCTTTCCCTACCTGAATTATTTCTGAAAAATATAAATTTGGTAAAAGTTGAAAATGTCTACAATTTCTAAAGGCTCTGGAAGAATTATCAGTCTTATAAATATTGGCAGAACCGTGTAAGCACTCTACGAAATTCACTGCAGAACCATTTTAAAGAATCAATTGAGAAGCTTAAGTAAGCATTGTATTTACTTTTTTTTACAAACAGTTTCAATATACAATGCATAAACCATACAAGATGCTTTCTGATAAGTAGAATTACTTTGTGAAGGCCTCAACATTTTTTAAAAATTTTTCTACAGAGATTCTTTTGTTGGATTTTAGAAAGTTATGCATGTGCCTCTTTGTAATATGTGCCTCTTTGTAATAATTCTTCATTACACTGATTGATTAATTCTACATAACATGGTTGACAGCATCAGTTTAACACTTTAACTGCTTAAAAAATAACACATAGAACATTTTCATTATTTATTAGTAACATTCAACTTTGAAAACTCTATATTCTTTTCTCCCCCTCAAGTATAGTCAAACGTTTCACCATCTTGTGATGTGTGAACTTTATAAATCTTTATGTAATATTGAATATTTGGCTATTAAAGCTCTAAAAACTTCTTCACTTAATTTCTAATATTATAATTGACCCTGCAAGGACAGCCAATAGTTTGTATTATTTTTAGAATTAACATAAAGAAAATATCATACAATCATTTGGAAGAATATATTCAATCATAGACATAATTTTCATCCTATGTTTATTACATTCTTCATGTATAAAGCATATCTCTTCCCCTAAGGATTAGTATATATATCAAGACTTGTGTATAACAGAGATCATGTATAATATTTTTTATCCAAATTGATTGATAATAATAGAGTCAAAGTTTGTCATTATACACTATTGAAATAAAATAGATTTTGCATGTTTTGTTGCTCATATGGAACGAGGCTCTGGGTTGATCATTATTTTAGTAATTCAGGTGTGAAACCATGATCTTCCTGTTTTGATAATTCCACAAAATATACTTCCCACTGAGATAGTGTTTAGTAGAAATTGTCTTCTCAGTTTTACTCAGACATTTTTTAAAGCCCTTATCTGTCAGTCATTTTGTTTAATAACGAAAATCTAAGATGTTTAATACTGATTTATTTATTTCTGCCTTGCAGGAGAGGTTATGGATCAGAGGTAAGGGCTTTATGGTGTTGATGTCGTAACAAGCATACTAGGAAAATACTTGTGTAATAGGCAAGACTAATGTACATTCTTTTGAACTAGTTTATTTTCTTTGATTTCAGCAAAAACATATTAGTATGTTATGCTATTTATTTTCTTTTATATATGTTGCTTCCCTGTTTTAAGGTTTTAAATCTCTTATTCAATGGTCAAAGATCACTTGCTTACCTTTTTAAGGATACATGTATTTTGTTCTGCATTACTATTACTCAGTATTCTGACATTTCCCCAAAATTTATTTGTCTAAGGCTATACATATAATTTAGAAACTAGGATTACTGCCTGTAGTCCCAGCTACTTGGGAGGCTGAGACAGGAGAATTGCTTGAACCGGCAAGGCGGAGATTGCAGTGAGCCAAGATCAGGCCACTGCACTCCAGCCTGGGCAAAAGTGAGACTCTGTCTCAAAAAAAAAAAAAAGAAAAAAAAAAGAAAAAGAAAAAAAAAACAAAGAATATATATATAGGACTACTTAACTTTTGATCTTTTTACCAGTTCAAGGCGCCATCCTATCACTAGGTTAAAGCTTGAGATCCTAAAGATTTTAAAAATAATCAGAATGTTAGAAAGCTCTGGGTTTTCTACTGTGTTCATTTGATTCTGTCTGCAGAGAACTTACTGGGCATTCTGGCCAGTAGTATTTGGCCAGCTGTACTGCAGGTGATGTTACCAATGAAGTCACTGCGAACCTAGTTTGATTTAGCATACAGCTTCTCAATCAAGAGAAGTATACGACCTAATTGGATTGTAGTTTAGAATTCATTATAAGTAAAATAACTAACTCACCAACAACTGTATTATAAAAAGGATATCCCTTCAGTCAAATGGTTGTTCTACTAGCCAGTTTAAACAGTGGGTTCAATGATGGAATTACCTCCCAGAACCTCACTACCCACTTTTCCAATACTTAGTTTAATATGCTGTTTTCCCTCCAAAGAGTTACTAACCCCAAAATTTGAATTGTGTATCTTGTTTTTATCTGGTTAAAGTGTGTATTATTATGAAACAGATCAATGGTGACTGTATTAGCTTTAAATAAATACAAGTGAAAGAAGGAAGAGGCAGGAAGCAATTCCTACCAAATCTGATAATTAATGACTTTCCTAATCATTCTGAAAACACACTTAATGTTTTAGTGCAAGAAATCCACACTTTGGTAAGAAGAAGAAATGGAGAGCATGTCTTCAATATGTTGATAGATACATTACAACTTTATCGTTTTGTGTGTTCTGCTCTTCTTCCCAATGAATCTTATCACATTTAATGTGATTGGGAAGGAAAAAAAGAAGGGCAACTTAAAACAAGGTTAAACTTGATAAAAGTAATTATATGACACACAGTACTTTTAGAAACATAAATAACTCTTTGTACTGTGGAGCTTAACAAAACAAAAATCTGTATAGATTCCTGTTTATTAAGGCTATTAAATTTGTCATTAACTAGAAGAATGATGAAATTAAAACATAACAAATGAATTCTTATTTTATGTTCCAATATAAAGAATTAGTTAAAATATTTAATGCTTTTGGTAGCTAACACATGAATAATGAATAATCCCAAGGAAACACGTTTTAAACTGTCGCCTTTTTTTCCTCTCTTCTCAATCATGATCTACCTTTCCCATCTGAATTATTTTCTAAATCTTTTTCTATTTTAATTTCCTTTGACAGCAACAGCAACTGCTGAGGCCCTCTCTTCTTAAACCAGAGGTATCAATTTTCATTTTCTTTTCAACCTCACTGAGCCTTCACTGTGACTTTAAGATCTATTGTATTAATTCTTGTAGGCAGAGTGGGTGTCTGCCAATGTGGCATAATTTTAAAGGAAAAGAAAAGAGTCTTTCAAAATAACTTCAAAAAAAAGAAACCAAGAAATCACCTCCTGAAGTTGCTGGTAGCTCAACTTCCAAATTTTTAGCCTCATTCTCTGGGAATGAGACAAGCCCATTATTCCTAATAAATACGGGCCATTCATTGAATGAAGCAATTAATGAACCCGATCAGCAGTTACTTGTCTTAATCAATCTGAATTCATCTATCCATTCCTGACATCAGATTTAGATTATGCAAAGTTTAAAGACAGAATGCTGATATCTGTACTTAAATATCATTTTATGTGATTCAAAATACTTCTTTTGGACACATATATTACCAATTGCCTATGGCATTTTCTTCTGCAATGTGAAAAAGATATTTTTTGTATAATAAATATATATTATTGTATTTACTTATTATGTTTATATATGTAATTAAAAATAAAAACACAGACATCCTACTTTTAATTTTACGGCAAATTTAGTATTTCATAAGCTCCACTTACAAAAATTTTATTCCTTTTCCTTGAGTACAGAATTCTGTCTTTGCTAAAAAGAGGCATTTCTTGGTTAGAATCTACTCTCCAAAATCTGGAGGTTGTGTGGCAGGAATATTAAACTTTTATAAGGTTTTAGCAAAAATTTCCATGGAGAGGGCTCCATAAAATTTGAATTGGAAAACTCAGGGTTGAAATCCAAACACCAATGACTTTATGCAAGACCTTAGTCAAGATACACATCTGCTGAACATCAATTTCATCTTCTATAAAATGTTAGCAGTAATATCTAATAAATGTGTAAGTTCCTAGCTCAACAACTGGAATGTAACAGGAAGAAATTCAGTAAATTACAATTATTGTTGTTGTTTTTGTTTTGCATCAGTATAAATGTTTATAATAATTAAATATTAAGTTAATTCTATGTTTTCCCTGTGTGGACAGCAAAAATGAATATTAAAAATTACATTAAGTGTTTGATCTACCCAAGAAAATCACTAGTGTGTTACTTTGCATACTTTTCTAAAATCTAGAATTCATCAACTAAGGGGTTGTTACAGTCTACTGGGACTGTGTGGAACAACAAAAAGGGCCAGCATTCCCTTGTTGGTTGAGGTTGACTCATGGATCTGACTGGTCAGCAGTTCCTTACTCGATTTTTTTTTTTTTTTTTTTGAGACAGATTCTTGTTCCATCGCCAGGCTGGAGTGCAGTGGCATAATCTTGGCTTACTGCAACCTCCACCTCCTGGGTTCAAGCGATTCTCCTGCCTCAGCCTCCCGAGTAGCTGGGATTACAGGCGTGTGCCACCATGCCCAGCTAATTTTTGTATTTTTAGTAGAGACGGGGTTTCACCATATTGGCCAGGATGGTCTCTGTCTCTCGACCTTGTGATCCGCCCACCTCGGCCTCCCAAAGTGCTGGGAGTACAGGCGTGAGCCACCGCACCCGGGCTCTTTCCTCAAATTTTTTTTTAACGACTGATGGCTCTGCTCTTCATTCATGGGTGGTGGAAGCATCCAAGAGGGACCTTTTAGATCATTTCCTTCTGCTAGTTCCTATCCCTCTTTACTCAACTCAGAAATACAGAGTGACTGATTGAATCAAGGGCTATCTTGCTGAGTTTCCTGGGTTCCTATCCGCATCCCTTCTATACTTCTTATTACATTTTTAATGCAATTGATGCCATATGCATTGTAGCTAGCAAGAGCTGAGCGTTATTTTCCCTTAATGAAGAAAAAGTATTTATGTAAAGAAAATTCTTTGATGCTGACTTCTAAAATCCAAAATCCACTCAGTTGCATTATTTCTCCATAAATATTTACTTGAAATTTTTATTTCGTGTTTCTTACTATTACCTAATGTTGTTAAAAGTCTACTTCAAAACTGTTTGAAGTTATTTTCTCAGTATCTGTATGTATTTAATTAAACGTGCATTGGTCAAGCAGTTTGAAAATATTAGTTCTGAGACCTATTTGCTTCATTTAAACCAGTGTCATTACACTGAGTTTTACATACCCTAAAATTCTTAGCTTACCTCCAGGAAACGTTTTTACAAAGTACTTAGTTTGAAATAACTTAAATCTAGACTTTTTGTCTCAGTTTCTTCCAGGTCTTTCTTAACCTCATTCCTTCCCCCACACTTCAACCTTCCTATAATAAATATATTTTTGTTGAAATAAAACCTACGCCCATAAGAAAAGTATAAACCATACTGTATAACTAGATGAATTTTTACAGAGTGCACATGCCCCTCAAGCTCTTCTATGTCAACACCTAGATATCAGTTTTCCTTCTGGCCTGTAACATATTCTTTAGTCAGTTCTTGAAATTTATATAAATAGAATGATATAATATATTTCGTTGGTACCTGACCTATATTGCTCAACATTCTGTTTGGGAGATTCATTTATGTTGTTGTGCGATGTGGTAGCGTGTTTATCTCATGGACTTTTGCATTGTTTCCAATTTGGGACTGTTACGAATAATGTGTTTTCTCACAAGTGTACATGTTTCTGTTGGGTATTTAACTACAAATTTAAGTTCTGTGAAAGAAGAAATGGTTATATTTAATTTAGTACTATTGCCAAACATATTCTAAAAAGTTTTACCAAGTAATAATCTCTCCAGACTTAGATGAGAGTTTTAGCTCTTCTGTGTCCCTGCAAATACATAGTATTGTTCATCGTGGGTTTGTCTAAATATTAGTTATTCTGGTGAATAAACTATACTAGTTTTAACATCAAAATTGGATTCCTTTAGAGTAGGTTCACAAAGTATTTGTAAACGGCAAAATTATAAGATAGAAGAAGTAATGCAAGCGTCAATACCTACAGGATCTAGGGTAGTAATGTAAGTGAATGGAGTTTATTAGACACAAAGCAATAGCAGATGACAGATTTCATAGTGACTAGGGTATGAATGTAGAAAAGTGTCGTTGGGGATACTGTCATAAACAGGAGAGGACATGCTTGCTGTAAAAATTAATCTAGCCAACTAGATTATTGGAATGTAAAAATATGATCCTAGTGTTTCCATCTTTTTATTTTTCAAGAGAAACCAACATCCACAGTGTTGGTGTCATTTTCTGATTAGCACTGTTAGTAATGAATTCAATTTTTTAAAATGATGTTGGCCACACCAAGCACAACTGAGGGTCTTTATCCATATCAATCATGCAGGCTGTAAATTTCCACACTTCGCAAATGACATATTTGTGCCCTCAGAGGAGGGCTTTTTATTTCCTGACTCATTACTATTCCTGGATCAACAAAATTAAATTTTTATAAATAATAGATGATAGAAATATGTACCAATCTATTTTCATGTGAGTACCTATCCTTTTCCCCCCTCTCTTCTCGTATTCCATTGCGAAATGAATTTGGTTAACCTTTGTCATTTAACCTGCTTAACATGTTAAAGTAGAATTTAAAAGGGAAATGTAGAGAAATTGCATTTGATAGTTATCAGAAACCGTTTTCACATGTATATCTCAAGAAAAACATCTTTCTATAAGTAGAGTTTGACAGAAATCAATCAGTATGTTTAGAGTTTAGAACTGGAAATATTAAAAGGACCTCTATTCTAACAAATTCTTTTTTTCCTTTAAAAACCTTAAATTTAGAGGCCAGGCACAGTGGCTCACGCCTGTAATCCCAGCACTTTGGGAGGCCGATTGGGGCTGATCACGAGGTCAGGAGATCAAGAACATCCTGGCTAACATGGTGAAACCCCGTCTCTACCAAAAAAAAAAATACAAAAATTTAGACGGGCGTGGTGGCGGGCGCCTGTAGCCCCAGCTACTCGGGAGGCTGAGGCAGGAGAATGGCATGAACCCTGGAGGCAGAGCCTGTAGTGAGCCAAGATCACGCCACTGCACTCCAGCCTGGGCGACTCAGCGAGACTCCGTCTCAAAAAAACAAAACAGACAAACAAAAAACCCTTAAATTTAGAATCAGCAGTATGTTTTAAAGTATAAACATCCTTGGGAAGCATTACACATTAACTTAAATTCTTGTTCTCAGATGACTTTATCAGAACAGTTTCAATGAATAGAAGAATACTGGGTACTAGAAAACTGTTAGTGGGGAGATGAAAAAAAATGCTGTAGATAGTGTTATAATTTTTCTTAAGGCCAACATCACTTAATAATTTAACTTAAAATTGAGTTAAATATTAACTATTGATTGATAATTTTAAAAGACATCCAAAAACAAGTGAAAATGCTCATCTGCAAGTTTTAACAGGTTTGCCATTAGAAAAAAATTACTTTTTCCTCTTCAGGTCAAATTATATAACCTTATTTTGTATCAAATGGTTACAGCCAGAAAAAAATGAATAGATTTGACTAACACTTTTAAATAGAGTAATTTTAATTGCTTTAACTGACACTTGTATTTAAAGTTATTTTGGCAGGAATGTTTTGAGAATCATGGAATTCTAGGTGTAGAAATCTGACTTTGACCTGAAACGTGATAAGAATTCGTTTTCAAATGCAATTTTTCTTTTTGAACAATAGGAATTATCCATGGAGTCTGGAATTGATCCTGGCCAGGAATATGGACAAGATTATTACAGTTATGAGCATGGGTACATCTTCAGATTTTTAAAATTCAGATTCTTATTTTAATATTTTATTAATAGGAAATTATTAAATGATTATTATTACTAGAATTTGTTTTTAATGTCATGTCGATCTCACTAGTATAATACTTGAAAATGAATAGTATATCTAGCTTTATTTTTAACCAAGTTTTAACCATTTTTCTATATTGAGTTCCATATTGATATTTTACATTGATATCGATTGCAATTCTAGAAATGCGGTAAAATTATTCAAAATTATTTATATGGGAAATAGATGTGAAACATATTTGCTCAATTCCTAAATTCACCATTTCTTTCATATAAGATGTTAATGTTTTATCTAATCAGTTTAAAGTTTTGCCCAAGAGCAGTTAGGAAACAGAAAACACACCTTAGAATCCACTGATAAGTGTCTCAAAAGTCACTTGTACACATATAAATTAACCACTTTCAAAAAAAATACTGAAGAAATTGTGAAAACCATTACAGACCATGTTTGAAGCAACTTCTTGCTACCAACATACAGATTTAATGTGGTGAATGAGCCATTACACTGTTCCAAAGTATCTATTTTGTGTTCTGGATTCTTCAGCTAGTTAAGACACAATATGGCTTTTTTCTCGTTCTAGTTTCTCCAAAAACGAGTATCTGAAATAACTCAACTCTCTTTATTGTTATTCCAGGGTACCATTATGGCAAAAATCACTGGTCATCAGGTAGCAGTTCTTACTCTATAGTTTTGTAACTAGTTTACAAGGAGCCTGATAGGTGCTGTGTAAATATCTGTCGATTGAATGGCGGAAGAAAAAGAAGGAAACAGATCACTCATGGTAGATTCTACAGAAATCACATGACAAACTGTTTAAAGATGTAAGTTTATATTACAGGTATGAAATGCCTCAATATGGGAGTCGCCGTCGATTGTTACCACCAGCTGGACAGGAGGAATATGGTGAGGTGGTTGGTGAAGCTGAGGAAGAATATGAGGAGGAAGAGGTAATTACTGTAATTTTATTATGTAAGATAATATTCCAAGAAAAATATTGTTTAACCCTACGTGACTAGCGGCTGTAGAACATTTCAGCTTTTAGAAATTCCTTTCACTTAGTACGTATTTCCCATAGAAATTTCACAGTGCTGACCGTTTCATTGCCTTGTCTTTGGAGGAAAATTAATTCTTGATCATTTAATTTATTTCCTTCTAAAAGTGTTAAACATTTGGAAAGGGCACAATGAAAATTATGTTTTCTAAAATTCTAAATCTTGCTCCATAAAGATATTATAAGCAAATATATTTTAAAGTTCTGCAATACAAAGGTTACTTTTGCTCCCACATTATCTAGCAAAACTAAAAGTCATGAAAAAATATAGTCTCCACCTTTCAATTATCAGAGAAAAGTAAATTATTTCCACAAATAATTTTCAAGGAATAATGTAATTTATGTTTAAATTAGCATGACTCATTTCTATAAAATTCTTATACTTTGTCTTCACTATTTACTTGGCAAATTTATACAAAAACAACACTAACAAGAAATAAATGTCACTGTGGCTTTAACATGTGCAAAATTTCATAAAATAGATTTCTCATAAAATGAGATAAATCGTCATATTTTCGTGATTATTGAAAATTCTTGAAAATTTAGTTCAAGGGAATACAGAAAGCTATTAACCTAAGTCTAGTGACAGAAGAAGGAAGGAAGGAAGAGACAATAATTCTTTCTTTTTTATTTGATCTAAGAGGAAAATTAAACGTTGAGTAACAAGAAGGAAATTAATATATTTGGGTATTGTAAAGTACAAGCTAAAATAAAATAATTTACTTTCTCTTAATCACCTTCTGTCTATATGCAGTAGAAATTTTTGTGATTATTTTCTTAAGCCAGTTATATAACATGCATGAAGCTATCACCCACAGATTCATTCCTGCGTAGCTTTCGTGGGACAAGGTCATACCATAGCTATCTCCAAGCTGACACTTCAATTGCATTTTCACAATTTTCAGGAAGAGCCAAAGAAAATTAAAAAACCAAAGGTTGAAATTAGAGAGCCTAGTGAGGAGGAAGAAGTAGTTGTAACTATCGAAAAACCACCAGCAGCTGAGCCTACATACACAACATGGAAGAGAGCCAGAATATTCCCCATGATTTTTAAGAAAGTTAGAGGATTAGCTGATAAAAGAGGAATCGTTGACCTTGAGGGTGAAGAGTGGCAGAGACGCCTTGAGGAAGAAGATAAAGATTATTTGAAACTCACTCTGGACCAAGAGGAAGCAACAGAAAGCACTGTAGAATCAGAGGAGGAATCCTCCAGCGACTATACTGAATACAGTGAAGAAGAGTCTGAGTTCAGTGAGTCTGAGACTACAGAAGAGGAATCTGAGTCAGAGACACCCTCTGAGGAGGAGGAGAGTTCCACCCCTGAATCAGAAGAATCGGAATCCACAGAGTCAGAAGGAGAAAAAGCAAGGAAAAACATTGTGCTTGCAAGAAGAAGGCCCATGGTTGAGGAGGTCAAGGAAGTCAAGGGTAGGAAAGAGGAGCCACAAGAAGAACAAAAAGAACCTAAGATGGAAGAAGAAGAACACTCAGAAGAAGAAGAAAGTGGACCAGCCCCTGTGGAAGAAAGTACAGACCCTGAAGCTCAAGATATCCCTGAAGAGGGCAGTGCAGAATCAGCTTCGGTGGAAGGAGGTGTGGAAAGTGAGGAGGAATCAGAATCAGGTAGTAGTAGCAGTAGTAGCGAAAGTCAGTCTGGAGGTCCATGGGGCTATCAGGTACCAGCGTATGACAGAAGCAAGAATGCAAACCAAAAGAAGTCGCCAGGAGCAAACTCTGAAGGTTACAACACAGCACTTTGAAAGAGATCACAGTAGGTGGAAGTTTTGCTGTGATGAGTGCTCTCGTGTGCAGTGCCTTCTGTGTGTTCTCCAAAGTGACACTTGAAAGGGAGGAAATTGATCAAGATTTTGATATGACTTATGATCAGAAGCATGCCAGAAAAGTGAATATATATGTTGTCCAAATCCATTTGTATATTAGACTGTATTAGAGTAAAACTGACTAATCCTTCCTATATTAGTAAATCAGAACACATGCAATCAGCTAATCAATATTTAATATTTACTGGTAGGATTTTTGTTAATGCAATGTGGCATTATGTATTATCAGTGACACTCTGTCTATTGGAATGGATGGCATATATATATATATATATATATACACACACACACTATATATGTTTTTATATCATCTTTCAAAATAAATACTAAGACAAGCTTCAACAAATTATATCTTTAACAGTCGTCTACTTTTGCATATATGTACGTTTCAACTGGCAAAGGTATTATAAAAACTATCATGAACATGTTCAAATAAGTAAGTTTGTATCTGCAACTTCAAGTATTAGGAATTCAATGAAATAACATTTTTCAATTAATTAAAAGTTATTACAGCTTATTTTCTGTTATTATTAGCTACAGTGGATTTAAAAATAAATGTAACAGGCATAAAATTTTTTCTAGGTAAATAAACTATAATTTTGAAATATAGTTCTGAAAATGAGAATGCATGCAATGTGTTGATAGTTCACATATTCCAAAAATGCGATACTATTTTGAGAAAAACACAGTATTGCTTAACCCTTGCTTCTTGCTATTTTTAATGTTGATTGGTAAAAGTCAAATGAATTTGTGAAAATGTCCAGTTGCTTACAAAAGGAAAGTTTAGTATAATAATTAGCTTTCAGTTTTGTGTATTACTAGGTAAATGATGCAGGCTGAGAAGATATTTCCTTTTAAGTTAGTATATCTAAATGGGACAACCCAGAAAACCAGGATATGTCAAGTAAATAAATGCATTAAATTATACATCAAGTAAATAAGTAAAGTCAAGTAAATAAATGCTTAAATTATACAAAATGCATTAAATTATACAAAAGTTTTCGCTAACTAGAGAATACATTAAAAATTAGAATGATGTGGTTTAAAAATATTTTTTAAATATTGGGAATAGAAGCGTTAATATGAACAGAATATACTAAAGCTGTTCATTCCTTTCAATTTAACTTTCCTGAATAGTAGAGCAGCTGTCAAATAGTGGATCAGCTCCTTAAATAAAAGTAATACATTTTTTTCCATGTGGATCAGTAATTTGATCTAAAAGAATACATGTGTTTCCTGAAATGTCTGCTTTCCAACTCAACAATACATTTTTCAAACATTAATAAGAAAGATCTAAAGCCAATAAAGGATTGATGAAAGGAAATGTATGTTAATAAAGACTGGCTTCCTTCTATCTCTCTTGAGTGATTTACCTTTGACAGCTTTCTAAATGTCATTGTTTTGGATTTCACAGGCAATGTAATCATTGCCTTTTTAATTTATTTGATAGTGACTCACATATTTTTGTTTATTTTATCAGTGGGCAAGAAAAAGAATGATCAAGTTAGTTGTTGATCGAGAGTATGAAACCAGCTCAACTGGAGAAGACAGTGCTCCTGAATGTCAGAGAAACCGTCTTCACCATCCTAGTATCCACAGTAATATCAACGGCAATATATATATTGCACAGAATGGTTCTGTGGTGAGAACCCGCCGTGCCTGCCTCACGGACAACTTAAAAGTTGCTTCCCCTGTTCGACTGGGAGGGCCCTTTAAGAAACTAGACAAGTTGGCAGTGACACATGAGGAGAATGTACCTCTGAACACATTATCAAAGGGGCCATTTTCTACTGAAAAAATGAATGCAAGACCAACTCTGGTTACATTTGCCCCTTGCCCTGTGGGGACTGACAATACAGCGGTGAAGCCACTAAGGAACAGGCTGAAAAGCACAGTTGAACAGGAGTCCATGATTGACAGTAAGAACATCAAGGAGGCTTTGGAATTTCATAGTGACCACACACAGTCTGATGATGAAGAGCTTTGGATGGGCCCCTGGAACAACCTCCATATACCAATGACAAAACTGTGACCAATTTTTTAAAAGATATTTTAATTAATTTTTACTTACATTTTTAATAAACTGTGCTTTTTATTGTCACTGAGAAAACAATGTATGGAATTTATATCATGCACACAAGCTAAAACTTTGAACAATATGCTTTAAAATTTTAAGAGACAGATTTGCACTCACATTGTTATCAATTAATCGTTTTTCCCAGAAAATCCTTTTGGACATACTTTCACTAAATAACCTATCGTTTAAACATTTAGCTGTTTTGTTGGGTCTTGAATTTTTGTTCATTTTAATAAACAAGAAATAATTACTAAATAATCATTTATATTTTATTGATTAACATAGATTATGCTTTATTTCTAGCTCCACAAAACATTTTTAGTACATGTAATTTTATTTTCCATAGCCAAAAGGGCAAAAAAGAAGTAAGAGGATATTTACAGGCAATGAGTTTATACAGCTGCTGTCTATACTGCCCTAATTTTTAAAATGAAAGCTAGAATTGCAAAGTAAAGTAAATGAGGGAATCACCTGTAAATAATTAATTATTTTAAATCATGAGCTTGTTTTCTTTCTTTATTGTCCTGTATAAAGGTTTTCACATTTTACCATAAATACATTTATATCTTGACCCTTTAGGAAACCACTTGAAGTCGTATGTCTTTTTATCAATATTATTTACAATATTCTCTTGTCCCTTCATCTCATATCAAATATGGTAGATACTTTAGTTTAGTTTAATCACTTGAGGTTAAATAATTGTTTGGAGCAACATGGAAATCTCACCCTTAGCAAAAGCTTTTAGGGAAGTGAGAAAGGTTCGAGTAAGCAGTAATGCATCTAGAACGACAATTTCATAATGGAAGACATGGTGAGGTTAGGGAAGTCTCACATTAATGTCACTAGACTTTAATAGTTTGTAAACCCAGCATATCAGAGTAAAGGAATTTGGCAGGGTTGAAATGTATATAATATATAAAGCTTATAAAGGCTATGAATTCATAACTTCAAATGTTGTGTTTAACTTCTTCCATTTTCAGGTTATTTATAGAATATTTTAATGCACATATTTATGTGCCTAAAATCCAGAACCAGGAAATCATTGCCTGGGCATTTTTTAAAATCAAAGAACATGGTCTTGATTTTTTACCATTGAACAAAGCACAGTGTTTCATCATAAGTAGAAATGAAAACAGAATATCCTTTAAAAAACTTGCCTTGTGTGTTGCTTATTTTCCAGATGATGTAAAAAGAATGAAACAATATAGATTAAGAGAATTCAGAATTCTATTGAATATTACTTAGTATGATATAGATGTAGCTCACTTCAAATTTTGCACAGTATTGACCAAGTTCAGGTTTTAATGAAATTTCCTCATGCATGCTTAATATATGGTTGAAGGACTGAATAATGCACTATTATTTATTCCCCTCTTACATGTTTCGCGTCTTAAAAATTGTTTATTATTATGCTATTTCCTCATTTCCAAAGTGAATGAATTGTACTGACATAAACTTGCCGACTTGTAAGAGTAGTATGTTTTTACTTCAGATTTCCAAGAAAATATTTGAGATCAAATACAGTAACATCTCATCTACCTTATTTTATTGAGAATTAATGCATTCCATACCCTTGCCAAAAAAACAAAACAAAACAAACAAACAAAAAAAAACCTAGTGGCATTAGCTAGATTAGAAACGTAGAATCATGACCACACCTCCTGGCCTGCCAAACAAGCATCCACATTTTCAAAAGATCCTAAGGTGGTTTATATGCACATTAAATTTTGGAAGCAATGAAGTCCGGGGCTTATTCCTTCAGGCACCAAAGCAATGGTTTTTAGTATAGGATACTTTGTATAGGAATTAGATTAAGCATATATTTCCCTACTAATTCAATCAGAGGTCATCGAATATAATTTAATATTATCTTGATACCCCCAGATCATCTCAGTCAGCATCCCTTGATATTCTCTCTATATACAGCTTCATGGCTGCGTTTTTGTCCTTTGATTTCTGGCTGTGACATTTAACTTATTCTGTTGTTGTGCCTTTCTCACATTTTTTTCTTTCAGTTTATAGCTTCTAGTATCCTGATGGGAAAGTTTGTGTTTTTTGTTTGTTTTCTTAATGTTGAAAAATCATGAAGCTTAAGATGGGAATTAGGTACACGGATTCAACCAAATGTTTTGCGACTCTTAGACGCTTTCTTTGGTTACCAGTAGATTTGGAAATATGATGTTGGCAGAAGTCTAGTGGCCTGACATATGAGATGTCACTGTATTTTAAACTACATTTTTTATGAGAAAATATGCAAAATTTTACAAGCCACTTAGCAGACACATTTCAGTAATTTAAACTTGATCATTTCAGTAAAAACAATCATGAGGTCAATCATCTGTTACTTAATGGAGATAGTATAAAGAGAAGCAGAATTTACACAGAGCAACCAAACCAAATATTTGGTCAGTATATTTTTGGGTAACGTAGAGCAGCAAAATTATTACTAACTAAATAAATCTGGATCAATTAAATAGTTACTTTCATAGAACTTTCACTAGTCTATAAATCCCTGACTCAGGATTAAAACTGTGGAACCCAGAGGAAATACCCAGGTATGTTTAATCTTAAGAATACTTCATATAAATAACGTTTCAATGTAAATATTTATAAAGAAATTGGTTGTTATTTTTCCTAGGAAGGTGTAGGAAGGTTTTCTTGTTGTTCTCAATCAGCACTAGCTTCAATCAGGCAGAAGAAACAGCAGGTCTTGGCTAATCGAGGTGAGAACAGAATGATGTAATGACTAATATTGCAACCCGTTGATTTTAGAAGGTCTTGTGGGCATTAAGGGAAAGCAGAGGAAGAATGAGAAAATATGGTCAGAGTGACATAGGACATTTGTGACTTAATGACCATCGAATCACAGGTGTTAATCTCCCTCTCTCAATTTGTCTTTCTCATTAATTACAGACTCTGAGAGTTGTCATAGAATTGCAACCGTAGGTTGGCCAAAACCATCTTTTTAAAATACAGAAGAAAGTTTGCCTTGAATTTTATATGTGATATGTCATTCATGTTATTTTACCACATTGTTCACAGGGATGTTAAAGACTATTATTTACTTAAGTGGTTGTTCCAAAGGTGATTCAGTAGTTACCATTAAAATATTATTTAAAAACATTTTTATATCATAGAGCCAGAAGTAATTGAATATTGACTCTCGAGGGAAGACATTTTCTGTCTTTTATTTCATGAGCTTTGATTTTTCTCTTTCTCTGCTTCACCTTCTGCACTTTATACCTTAAGTGGGATTTATATACCACTTGAATTTAATTAGCAAAATAGGCAAAAAGTGCTAATAATCTATTCTCAGGGCAGATGCCTATTGGTGCCTGCAAATTACACAGCGATAAGGCTGAAGGATAGGTTCAAAATAATGTTGAGGACTTACACATTTTATAGATAGTTTCTTTCTATTCCCAAATGGTATGTGAAATTTTTGTTCTATTTTTTTTATTGGTTTTCAATAGTTAATTTTGATCTTTATCATAAGAAGCTTTAGTTATAGACTGGTATTTTTTTCATTGCAATCTACTTTAAATTTATGGTCAGTTAAGCACATGTATGGAAGATTCGAACATTGTCTATAGTTTGAAAAATCTATCAACACCTTCACTGCTTTCCCAATTTCTTTATCCAAATACCTGTTCTTCCTTAACAAATATTATGTTACTGTATAAGAATCTGAATTAGAAGTTTTAAGTTAAAATGCATTGTTATTCACTACACAATGTTTCAAAAATAAATTTTCATTTGAAAAGATGATTTCTCATTACTCTGTCAGGTGGGGATAAAAATCAGTAACTATTTTCACATTTACATGTTGAGTATTTCAGCCTGATAATAAAAGCCTGCTCTGCAACCTCTTATCTTAGAACAATGTGGAGGAAAGAAGTGTATCTTAAAACTTCTACCCATTCTTTTCCCATTTCAATCATGTACTCATGCCACAAAGTTCTAAGAAAAATGGAAACTGTTTCCTAACATACCACCTATTCATTTATATATAAAAAAATTGTAATTACATAAACATTAAGGTTTTCACATATGATCAGTTTATTATGTTTATAGAAATGCTAAATGGCAGCATAAATGTGGCAAGAAGCAGAGTCAACGTGAAATTACATATTTTAACATGGTTGAGTCTGACGTTTCAGAGACTCATAATTTATCTCTCTCTACCCCCAACACCCACCCTCTCTCTGTCTCTTTTTTCTCTGTTAAAATATGCTCCTATTTCTCTGGTCACATGCAGCTTCCTGAGTTTCTAATGCAGTTGATGATATAATAATTTCAGTTGTCTTTTATCTCAAATAATCAGGAATGAGAGAAATAAATTTTCTAAAACAGCCAACTTGGACATAGACAGAATTCTTGGTCTATTGCCTTTTTTCTCTACAACTGTTAGAACAGAATTTTGTATACCATGTATTTCCAGTGCCCAGCATGACTATTTGCATAAACAACAGCTGCTGAGAAAAATATTGCATTAAATAGAATGAATTACTTCTAGCCCTATCACCATGTAACCTTTGGCACATCATTTTATAATTTATCCCTATAGTAAAAATTGTAAAATGGCAATAATAACATCCACTTCAATTAAGAGCTAAAATCAGATATTTAATCTGAACATATTGTGATTTCTATAAAGGTATATGTACAGAATTAAAGATTACAAAATTGCCTTCATGTTCTTCTCCACAGATTTAGCCAGATTCTAGTATTGTCCGGCTAAATGCCAGTGTAAATTTTATTTACCTACCTTACATAGTAGATATTTTAAGTTATAAGAAAATACAATATCTTCCCCATGCTAATACATGTATATGTTTTTAAAGAGAAGTAAAATAAAACTGTAGTATTTTTTTGTCTTTTGAATTGGCCTATTGCATAGTTTAAAATTTTAAAAAGTGAACACTGTTAAAAAGAGCACCACACAAAGTCTGGGCTACACTGAAGACTTCAGCGGCTTCATGTCTGTGAATGCAAAGAAATACTTAGAAGTCTGTCCTAAAATATGTCACATTTCAATTTAAGTACTTACCCTAAATATGCCTTTAATGTAGAGTAATTGCTGAATTAACACTGGCTCTTTTGGATTTGTTGTGAAACAGGCTAGGTTTATTTCAAAATCTAGGCCGTGTTTACCTATTATTTCTCTCTAATCCCAGCAGAATTATTTACACAAATAAGCCTACGGACAAAAGCTGATTTTAAAATATCAATATCTGTAACTCTGTATGTATCCCCTTTGTTTCCTATTCCCCATCAAATTTCTTTACCTTGCCATCTTCTATAAAGGATTCTGAATTTTCTAACCTTGTAAAAATATCAGTTATAGTCCAATGAGAAGAAAAGGGGGCATTTTAGCTAGCTAAAGTGTATATAAATGATATAAATCAATACATACTTATATTTAAATTAGTTTAGGTACAAAAACACTTAAATTCATAGAAATAAAACAGTATATCAATATCAACATATTGATTTTATGGACTCTTACATGTCGTATTTTATTTATCCCGTTGAATTAACATCAATATTAGATGCCACAGCTTTTCTCCAGAGGTACAAGCACTCATTCACATAATATTAAGACATTTTGGGGTCTTTCTGAGTGATGATGGCTAAATACATAGCCTAAAGGTATATATTCTGATGGAACAAATGTTTGCCTTTTAAAAGTAAATCACACATACTATATGACTGTTAAAATTAATATGTAAAGCCTTATTTACACTAACATGTATAGTTGAACTATCGTAACTATAACTTAGATTGTGGAGTAATAGTATAGGCTAAAAATAAGCATCTATACTGCATCATTAGGTTACCATCGTATTCCTGTTACTGGGAGAAAAGTTTACCCAAAGAATCATTGTCCTTGACATCAAGGAAGACATAATTTGCCCAAGCAACCAGCATGTCATTAACCAGTCATTTTCCAATGTTAGTAACTACAGGGGGGCTTGAAGGATAAATCTTGGCCTCTAGTAATTCCTTTGTTACCATATTACATTGATCACATCCCAACCTTTTTTATTTAATTTTCATAACTACAAAATTAGTTTGGATATCAGTATGCTAGGGCCTTTTTTAGCAGAAGCTGAAATAATGGGCACAATAGTCCCTTGAAACCAGCACTGCAACTGTGGTTTACAGAACTAGCTGCTGTGCCCATCTCATGCCTGTGCTATTTATTTAGACCCCATTTCAGAATAAAAAGGTCTTAGGGTGATTTACAAAAATGCATACACTACAAAAGAAGAAATAAAGGTAAAAGAATTAGACAAAAGGAAAATAAAGATAGAGAAGAGTAAACGTGGGACTTGGGTTAGCATTCACACTTATGCCCTCATGGTTCCATACATTAAATATTTAGGCTACAAATATAGCTCTAATCTCCCAGACATCAGATCAAAAAAGGAAAACAAACAGGATTAGTTACAAGATTCATAGTGTGCATAAAGTTAGAAACAATTAATGATGGAAAGTCAGCTTTGCCCGCTACCAAGACCTGAGAGAAATTTTTGCTAAGGGTCTTTATTAAAAGTATGTTATATTATACATTGGCTTAGTAGTGGTCATTCAAATTTTATTTCTTTGCTTCTTGTTTCTTTTTGCATAGCTTGCAAACATCAGCCTTTCCTCCAGGAGTTCTTCAAGTGTTTGACTCTATCATCCTGTTATCAATGCCTCTTACAATGATTGCTAAAAGGGTAAATTGCCAGAATATTTTCCACTTTCACTAGCATTCTTTCTTGCCAAAAGATTTATATTAATCCTACTTTAATTAAGTCATTAATCAAAGGCCAGGTTGTAAAGGTCTGCAATTTTCATAGTTCTATAACTGTGCTGTTTGCTGATGATAGCGTATGTAAATGCAGACCTAATTCTTCAGAATACAGATTTTTTTCCCTTGAAGTTCTAGCCTGACTATAGGGAAATTTTTTTAGAGAAATGAAACTGTCTTTTATAAAGTGGGTAAAAATATGAAGAATATAGCATCACCTTAATTGTTTGCCTAAGTTACCTTAATTACATTAACCATATTATCATTTTATATTAATACTTATATATTTGTATGATAGATGTATTATTTTCATAGATGTGCTGATAAACCAGCTCTCCAGAAGAACAATACAAAACAATAACAAAAACAGATTTGTTGTGTTTGTAGATTTCCATGATACAAATACACCCACCATAGTCAATTTCAAGCCACTGATGGGCTTAATAGCCAGTTTGCTGAATTCTTGAAAATTTCAAAATTGGTTCTTGCAAGCCAGTATAGACTTGGCTTACATGTGTTGTACTAGTGCAATTGTTAATAGTAACTACTTTCATTCTCAAAAAAGGAAGCAGAAACTTTCTCTGGAAATCAAAAATCTTGGCTGGATGTGGTGGCTCATGCATTTTGGTAGGTCAAGGAAGGAGAATTGTTTGAACCCAAGAATTTGAGATTAGCTTAGGCAATATAGCAAGAACCTGTCTCTACAAGAAAAAAAAAAAGTTAGCAAGGCATGGTGGTACATGCCTATAGTCTTAGCTACTTGGGAGGGTGAGGCAGGAGGATCACTGGAAACGAGGATTGTGAGGTTACAGTGAGCTATGCTCATGCCACTGCACTCAGTCTGGATGACAGAGGGAGATTCTTTCTCAAAAAAAAAAAAAAAAAAGAAAGAAAGTCTTCACAAGAAGGCTGATGCCTAAAGGACCACAGAAAGTGGTCAAAGAGACAAGCCTGTGCATACAATGGGAAAAGAGGAGAGACCAAGAGAATTCAGTAAGATGCTCATTAAGCAGAAAGGCCATTTTGTGCAAAGGCCAGAAATGTAAGGGAATTAAGGGACATATTTAAAGAAAACTACCAATAATTCAGTTTCACATTTTCATAAAATGCAATTGCATGGTGTGGGGTTAGGAAATAGAAAAATAAACCTATGTTTTAGGCAAGAACTAAATCATTAATAAACCTATTTCTGTCTTATCACATAGACAATTTGCAATCACTTCAAACAAATCTAAACAAGAGAGAAGAGCACTTAAATGTTATATATAAGATGAAAAGCGGACTTCATAATGAATATGAAGAATAGGAAGCAGGAGAAAATTTCAGCATAGAAGGCCTGGATTCAAACTTTAGTTCACTAATGAATGTATTAATGGACCTTTCTATTGTTAAGCCCAAGGACCATTTCTTAATGTTATTATGTACTCTTCTTTTTCGTGTTTAAGTTAGCACCACCTATTCTTCTACTGTGGATTTCTCCTCTTTTTCATCTCTCACCATCTTCAGGACTTACACAATCTTCCCATATCCTCTTGTTCATTTTGATACCTTAGGAAAAAAATGAGCTTAAATAATATTTTGAAAATATTAAATTAATGAATGTGTAATTCATATTTTCTCACAGTCATGCCACCTAACCACCTAACAAAGAAGAAACACAGCCTAGTGATTAAGCTTTGATTTGAGCAAGATCGCATTGGTCCAAATCCTGGCTTTACTACTATCTAGCTAAATCCTTTATCTGTAAAATGAGAAAAATAATAGTATTTATCCTATGGGCTATTATGAGGATTAAATTAGTTAATTTTTGTAAAGCTTTTAGAACAACTCTTGCATATAATAGACACTACATAAGTGTGCAGGGGGAAAATCACTTCACGAAAGAAAGGGGTGGAGGAGCCAAGATGGCCCAAGAGGAACAGCTCCGGTCTACAGCTCCTAGCGTGAGCGACGCAGAAGACGGGTGATTTCTGCATTTCCATCTGAGCTTCGAAGAGAGCAGTGGTTCTCCCAGCACGCAGCTGGAGATCTGAGAACGGGCAGACTGTTTCCTCAAGTGGGTCCCTGACCCCTGACCCCCGAGCAGCCTAACTGGGAGGCACCCCTCAGCAGGAGCAGACTGACACCTCACACGGCCGGGTACTCCAACAGTCCTGCAGCTGAGGGTCCTATCTGTTAGAAGGAAAACTAACAAACAGAAAGGACATCCACACCAAAAACCCATCTGTACATCACCATCATCAAACACCAAAAGTAGATAAAACCACAAAGATGGGGAAAAAACAGAGCAGAAAAACTGGAAACTCTAAAAAGGAGAGTGCCTCTCCTCCTCCAAAGGAACGCAGTTCCTCACCAGCAATGGAACAAAGCTAGACGGAGAATGACTTTGACGAGCTGAGAGAAGAAGGCTTCAGACGATCAAATTACTCCGAGCTACAGGAGGAAATTCAAACCAAAGGCAAAGAAGTTGAAAACTTTGAAAAAAGTTTAGAAGAATGTATAACTAGAATAACCAATCCAGAGAAGTGCTTAAAGGAGCTGATGGAGCTGAAAGACAAGGCTCGAGAACTACGTGAAGAATGCAGAAGCCTCAGGAGCCGATGCGATCAACTGGAAGAAAGGGTATCAGCGATGGAAGATGAAGTGAATGAAATGAAGCGAGAAGGGAAGTTTAGAGAAAAAAGAATAAAAAGAAACGAGCAAAGCCTCCAAGAAATATGGGACTATGTGAAAAGACCAAATCTACGTCTGACTGGTGTACCTGAAAGTGACAGGGAGAATGGAACCAAGTTGGAAAACACTCTGCAGGATATTATCCAGGGGAACTTCCCCAATCTAGCAAGGCAGGCCAACATTCAGATTCAGGAAATACAGAGAATGCCACAAAGATACTCCTCGAGAAGAGCAACTCCAAGACACATAATTGTCAGATTCACCAAAGTTGAAATGAAGGAAAAAATGTTAAGGACAGCCAGAGACAAAGGTCGGGTTACCCACAAAGGGAAGCCCATCAGACTAACAGCGGATCTCTCAGCAGAAACTCTACAAGCCAGAAGAGAGTGGGGGCCAATATTCTACATTCTTAAAGAAAAGAATTTTCAACCCAGAACTTCATATCCAGCCAAACTAAGCTTCATAATTGAAGGAGAAATAAAATACTTTACAGACAAGCAAATGCTGAGAGATTTTGTCACCACCAGGCCTGCCCTAAAAGAGCTCCTGAAGGAAGCGCTAAACATGGAAAGGAACAACCGGTACCAGCTGCTGCAAAAACATGCCAAAGTGTAAAAACCATCGAGACTAGGAAGAAACTGCATGAACTAACGAGCAAAATAACCAGCTAACATCATAATGACAGGATCAAATTCACACATAACAATATTAACTTTAAATGTAAATGTGATAAATGCTCCAATTAAAAGACACAGACTGGCAAATTGGATAGAGTCAAGACCCATCAGTGAGCTGTATTCAGGAGACACATCTCACATGCAGAGACAGAGATAGGCTCAAAATAAAGGTATGGAGGAAGATCTACCAAGCAAATGGAAAAAAAAAATAGTGGTTGCAATCCTAGTCTCTGATAAAACAGACTTTAAACCAACAAAGATCAAAAGAGACAAAGAAGGGCATTACATAATGGTAAAGGGTTCAATTCAACAAGAAGAGCTAACTATCCTAAATATATATGCACCCAATACAGGAGCACCCAGATTCATAAAGCAAGTCCTGAGTGAACTACAAAGAGACTCAGACTCTCACACATTAATAATGGGAGACTTTAACACCCCACTGTCAACATTTGACAGATCAATGAGACAGAAAGTCAACAAGGATACCCAGGAATTGAACTCAGCTCTGCACCAAGCAGACCTAATAGACATCTACAGAAGTCTCCACCCCACATCAACAGAATATACATTTTTTTTCAGCACCACACCACACCTACTCCAAAATTGATCACATAATTGGAAGTAAAGCTCTCCTCAGCAAATGTAAAAGAACAGAAATTATAACAAACTATCTCTCAGACCACAGTGCAATCAAACTAGAACTCAGGATTAAGAATCTCACTCAAAACCGCTCAACTACATAGAAACTGAACAACCTGCTCCTGAATGACTACTGGGTACATAATGAAATGAAGGCAGAAACAAAGATGTTCTTTGAAACCAACGAGAACAAAGACACAACATACCAGAATCTCTGGGACGCATTCAAAGCAGTGTGTAGGGGGAAATTTATAGCACTAAATGCCCACAAGAGAAAGCAGGAAAGATCCAAAATTGACACCCTAACATCACAATTAAAAGAACTAGAAAAGCAAGAGCAAACACATTCAAAAGCTAGCAGAAGGCAAGAAGTAACTAAAATCAGAGCAGAACTGAAGGAAATAGAGACACAAAAAACCCTTCAAAAAATTAATGAATCCAGGAGCTGGTTTTTTGAAAGGATCAACAAAATTGATAGACCACTACCAAGACTAATAAAGAAAAAAAGAGAGAAGAATCAAATAGACACAATAAAAAATGATAAAGGGGATATCACCACCGATCCCACAGAAATACAAACTACCATCAGAGAATACGACAAACACCTCTACGCAAATAAACTAGAAAATCTAGAATAAATGGATAAATTCCTCGACACATACACTCTCCCAAGACTAAACCAGGAAGAAGTTGAATCTCTGAATAGACCAATAACAGGAGCTGAAATTGTGGCAATAATCAATAGCTTACCAGACAAAAAGAGTCCAGGACCAGATGGATTCACAGCCGAATTCTACCAGAGGTACAAGGAGGAACTGGTACCATTCCTTCTGAAACTATTCCAATCAACAGAAAAAGAGGGAATCCTCCCTAACTCATTTGATGAGGCCAGCATCATCCTGATACCAAAGCGGGGCAGAGACACAACCAAAAAAGAGAATTTTAGACCAATATCCTTGATGAACACTGATGCAAAAATCCTCAATAAAATACTGGCAAACCGAATCCAGCAGCACATCAAAAAGCTTATCCACCATGATCAAGTGGGCTTCATCCCTGGGATGCAAGGCTGGTTCAATATACACAAATCAATAAATGTAATCCAGCATATAAACAGAACCAAAGACAAAAACCACATGATTATCTCAATAGATGCAGAAAAGGCATTTGACAAAATTCAACAACCCTTCATGCTAAAAACTCTCAATAAATTAGGTATTGATGGGACGTATCTCAAAATAATAAGAGCTATCTATGACAAACCCACAGCCAATATCATACTGAATGGGCAAAAACTGGAAGCATTCCCTTTGAAAACGGGCACAAGACAGGGATGCCCTCTCTCACCACTCCTATTCAACATAGTGTTGGAAGTTCTGGCCAGGGCAATTAGGCAGGAGGAGGAAATAAAGGGTATTCAATTAGGAAAAGAGGAAGTCAAATTGTCCCTGTTTGCAGATAACATGATTGTATATCTAGAAAACCCCACTGTCTCAGCCCAAAATCTCCTTAAGCTGATAAGCAACTTCAGCAAAGTCTCAGGATACAAAATCAATGTACAAAACTCACAAGCATTCTTATACACCAATAACAGACAAACAGAGAGCCAAATCATGAGTGAACTCCCATTCACAATTGCTTCAAAGAGAATAAAATACCTAGGAATCCAACTTACAAGGGATGTGAAGGAACTCTTCAAGGAGAACTACAAACCACTGCTCAAGGAAATAAAAGAGGATACAAACAAATGGAAGAACATTCCATGCTCATGGGTAGGAAGAATCAATATCGTGAAAATGGCCATACTGCCCAAGGTAATTTACAGATTCAATGCCATCCCCATCAAGCTACCAATGACTTTCTTCACAGAATTGGAAAAAACTACTTTAAAGTTCATATGGAACCAAAATAGAGCCCACATCGCCAAGTCAATCCTAAGCCAAAAGAACAAAGCTGGAGGCATCACACTCCCTGACTTCAAACTATACTACAAGGCTACGGTAACCAAAACAGCATGGTACTGGTACCAAAACAGATATAGATCAATGGAACAGAACAGAGCCCTCAGAAATAACGCCGCATATCTACAACTATCTGATCTTTGACAAACCTGAGAAAAACAAGCAATGGGGAAAGGATTCCCTATTTAATAAATGGGGCTGGGAAAACTGGCTAGCCATATGGAGAAAGCTGAAACTGGATCCCTTCCTTACACCTTACACAAAAATCAATTCAAGATGGATTAGAGATTTAAACGTTAGACCTAAAACCATAAAAACCCTAGAAGAAAACCTAGGCATTACCATTCAGGACATAGGCATGGGCAAGGACTTCATGTCTAAAACACCAAAAGCAATGGCAACAAAAGCCAAAATTGACAAATGGGATCTAATTAAACTAAAGAGCTTTTGCACAGCAAAAGAAACTACCATCAGAGTGAACAGGCAACCTACAAAATGGGAGAAAATTTTCGCAACCTACTCATCTGACAAAGGCTAATATCCAGAATCTACAATGAACTCAAACAAATTTACAAGAAAAAAACAAACAACCCCATCAAAAAGTGGGCAAAGGATATGAACAGACACTTCTCAAAAGAAGACATTTATGCAGCCAAAAAAACACATGAAAAAATGCTCACCATCACTGGCCATCAGACAAATGCAAATCAAAACCATAATGAGATACCATCTCACACTAGTTAGAATAGCAATCATGAAAAAGTCAGGAAACAACAGGTGCTGGAGAGGATGTGGAGAAATAGGAGCACTTTTACACTGTTGGTGGGACTGTAAACTAGTTCAACCATTGTGGAAGTCAGTGTGGCGATTCCTCAGGGATCTAGAACTAGAAATACCATTTGACCCAGCCATCCCATTACTGGGTATATACCCAAAGGACTAGAAACCATGCTGCTAAAAAACACATGCACACGTATGTTTACTGTGGCACTATTCACAATAGCAAAGACTTGGAACCAACTCAAATGTCCAACAATGATAGACTGGATTAAGAAAATGTGGCACATATACACCATGGAATACTATGCAGCCACAAAAAATGATGAGTTCATGTCCTTTGTAGGGACATGGATGAAATTGGAAATCATCATTCTTAGTAAACTATCGCAAGAACAAAAAACCAAACACTGCATATTCTCACTCATAGGTGGGAATTGAACAATGAGAACACATGGACACAGGAAGGGGAACATCACACTCTGGGGACTGTTGTGGGGTGGGGGGAGGGGGGAGGGATAGCACTGGGAGATATACCTAATGCTAGATGACGAGTTAGTGGGTGCGGCTTACCAGCATGGCACATGTATACGTATGTAACTAACCTCCACATTGTGCACATGTACCCTAAAACTTAAAGTATAATAATAATAAATTTAAAAAAAAGAAAGAAAGGGGTTTGGGTGCAGTGGATCAGGCTTATAATCCCATATACCAGGGAGGCTGAAGAGAGAGGATCCCTTGAGCCCAGAAATTGGAGGCTGCTGTGAGTCTTGTTCATGCCACTGCACTTCAGCCTGGGTGACAGAGTGAGACTCCAACTCAGAAAAAAGAAAAAAAAAAAAAAAAAGGGGGATAGACTTAGGAGAAATCTCATGTAGCCAGGAATAGGAAACAGAAAACCTGCTTATTCCATCTTTGGGTAGATTGTGAGAAGGAGAAGGTGGTGACATGTATGCAATGTTATTTTCCCTCTCCTTTTCGCCCTGTCCCCCAGTCTCTGAATGGTGAAACACAGGAGTTTTTCATCTGATTCCCTGTTTAAGACATTGAGGACATTTTCTTTGTGTGTGGGGTGGGGTGGGGTGGGAGGGGGGTGGTTATGCCAACCTGGACAAGCTAGTCAGTGTATAAACAGTAGCTAGATAGGCAGACAGAGGCCAGAGTTTAGCTCCTGGGAGTCTACCCTCAATGTCACATTATATGGAAGTTGTACAGATGTTCTCACAAATTCTATGCATGAATGTGGAAGAGATGAGAACGTGCAAGGTGCGACCTTAGTAGGCTT
This sequence comes from Homo sapiens, assembly GCF_000001405.40. Classification (NCBI taxonomy): domain Eukaryota; kingdom Metazoa; phylum Chordata; class Mammalia; order Primates; family Hominidae; genus Homo; species Homo sapiens. Next base: position 53,791,716 of record NC_000010.11, on the reverse strand, counting down.
TGAGTTAGGTCTGTATGGAAAGGCTCAAGTGTTACAAGGAGAAATTGGGAATGGACAAATGTTTCAGAGAGACTTCCAGGGTATAACTATTGCCAGCAGGAGCTGAAGCCATCCTGGGTCAACAGGGAAGACCACAGTATCTAGACCAAGCTGAAAGAACATGTCACAAGTTCACTCTCTGAAGACCTTAACATCATAAGTGTGCAGGTAGAACAGTGGTCAGAGGACCACAGAAAGTATCATCAGAAGCCAGCAAGAACCTGAAGAGCAGAAATAACTACACTTGCGTTTAAGATCCTATTCCTACATTATTATGTGCAAAAAGTGAGCAGCTCTGCAGTATATTCAGACACCATCTTGGATTGCAAAAGGTGGGGAGGGAGGAGCTGAATATCTAAGCACTTACTAAAAGGTGGACTGTTTAAACCAGAAAATATTGATACCTTGTTAACTGAAATGTTTACATCTTTTCTCTGAGCATCTGGATAGTGGATTTTGGCAAGGTTTAAATCAGCTATAAAAAAAAATAAAGACGCTTGTCCCTTTCTCATGTCTGCTATAGCAATCTTGGGAGAGAGGATAGCTGCTTTTCATTCTATTTGTTTCTGAGAAATAGATTTGAAGACTTTCAAAGATTAGATTACTGTGTTATAATTATCTGAGGGTCCTTATACATGTTCAAATTTTTAATTCTATTTGATATCATGATACAATATAATTATAGGTTTCTTCCTGCTTTTATTCCCACAATCTTTTCTCTTTCTCCTTCAGAGAACACATCTCAGAAAGTAGACTCAAAGACACAATTAACATGAACCAAAATGTTTTCCTGAGAGTCAGATAATTTACATCCTAACAACTTCCAAAATGATACATTTGTCACAGTGAATTTTGTATTTACTTCTTGGGGTATATATAGCTTTAGCTGGAACAAGAAAAACCTCCATGGAGCTTATAGTTTACTGCAGTATTCAAATAGTATTAAATATTTTGAAGGATATAAGAAGAAACAGATATATTTTACCAGTGCAGGATGGGACCTCCCTCCCTGCTTTTTAGGTTTCAGTTATCAAATCTGGTGATATCCAATAAAACTCTTAATAAACCGTGAAGTGATATGCCAATTGCTGTAAATAAAGACAAACGCAAATCCATCGCCACACATTTTTCTGGGGTGTTATTAACATGTACCGCTATTGTTAAAAATGTCAACTAGAATCTCTCTCCTGAGATCAACTGCCATATAGCGCCCAATGTGGGCTGGCAATCTATCCCAACTCACTTGGGATAGTCTGAATTTATGTCAATTGCTATTAATAACTACGTACAAGCATTCATTTCACTTTAAAATATACTCATTTGAATGGTAGATAAATTATGTAGTCACTCCACCAATTGGCATTTCCTCTTAAAGTTGCACAGAAACTTCAAATTCAGCGCAGTCTATTTTATCCCTTTCTCTCAAATCCTGTCAAGTAGGTTGTCGCTCACTTGTATCCTAGTCCTTTTAATGGCTCCACCCTCCTCTAAGGCATCCACACTTTTCTCACACTGCTTCTTCTGCTTTACCTCCTTTCCCATGCCATTAACAGGCAGCTTGCCCTGTTTATCTTTCTTTAATTTACCCCCCAGAGGAGTAATTTTTCCATTTCTACAGTTACATCCCCGGCCTAAGACTTCAACATATCTGCTCAAGGTTATTCTAATGGGTTTTTAATGGAGATTCTTTATCCTAGCCTTTTTATTTATTAAAAAATGAGCTCTAATGCTGCTAGAGTAATCTTAATGGAATATAAATGTATCATCTAAAGTCATTGTTAAAGGCTTTCTTTTTTTCTCATAGTTTTAAGAATACAACCCAATATCCTGTAGTATTTAACAACTTCTAAAATATAGCTCAACCTATCTTTCTAGACATATATTAATATATAGACAGGTTTCCTCCAAAAATACCAGAAACTATCTTTCCAGAGAGTGTAAGATAGGAGAACATTTGAGAGATTTTGCTCAGTCTTTAGTTGGGCAATCATAATTTCTATTAATTAAAAAAGATTTTGCCTTAGAAATTTCTAGTCTCAAATTCTCATCAAGAATTGAAGTTTCTCATGCCTAGCGTGCTGCGTAGAAGCAGAAAAATTTCATTTAAGCCAAAGACCCCTGTAGGCCAGGATCATAGATAACTCAGTGGTATTAAATTGATAATGCAATGATCAAAGCATCCTTCACTTTCATACTTGCATTTGACAAAATTAAAAAATCTCCACAGCCTCTGTGTTCTCAGGGTTGGCACTGCAGGTTGCAAGGAAGAGAATATACATTGGGAAAAGGAGGTTAAAAAAGAGACCTCTGGGCCACGACACTTGAAAGAGTTTGAAGGTATACCAGGCATGAGGTGGCATCCACCCAGGGGGACCAAAAAAGCCTTTTAAGCCCCAGCCATCTTTCTGAGGCTAATCTCCCCCTCCACCAACCAACCCTCATTCAGTAGCCTCTGCTTATATTCTTCTTGCTAAGCCAGGGCATAGCATATTATCTTGGCAACTATTTCAGCCCCCTGATACAAGGGGCATATAAATCCCCATTAGAAAAAAAGAAATAGTGCCTGAGTCCAACTGATGGGTGGATGGAGGCCTCTAGGTCAATTCAATACATTATTGTGCAGAAACAAATAATTGATATTAATGTGCCTTATTGTGATTCTACTGTACATATTCATAAAGAATCAAAGGAGATAGTTCTGTTCAGGGACTGTGCATGTGGAGAGGTGATCCTTGCTCTCTTTCATGCAGTCTAACAAAACAATAGAGAATCCCACAAGAAAAAGGAAAGAACAACTTTTATTGAAGACTTGGTAGCTCCTGAGTTTTCAAAGGTTATTTTTCAGTTACAGCAGTGCTGCCAGCCTGATGTAGGTACGATGTGTTATCTGTCCATTTCCTTCCTTCCTCCCTTTCTTCTTTCCTTCCTTTTCTTCCTTCCTTCTTTCTCTTTCATTTTCTTTCTTTCTTCCTTTTCCTTTCTTTCTTCTTCCTCTTTCTCTTTCTTCTCCTTCCTTCCTTCCCTCCTTCCTTCCTTTCTCTCTTTCTCCCTTCCTTCCTTCCTACCTTCCTTTCTTTCTTCTTTCTTTCACCTGCCTTGCAAATGCCTTGTTGCTTTCTGTCTTAATATCTCCACACAGAATTGATGACTAGCAAAGAAATGGCCCAGTCGGCCTTGCTTAGTCAAGTGAACATGGTATACCCAATTACAAGGTCCTAGTGCCATCTTAGTTTTACACAAAGGAGTGTCAACTACCTCCTTGTGGGAAATCTTATCTCCTTCTCCCACAGGAAATGAAGCCCCTGGCTGTGTTAAGCCCTCAGTTCACATAGATTCCCCTAAATATGTGGACAGACATGGTTTACTGAAGTTTGGCTGAGTTAAAAACCCAATTTTGTCCACTGGGCTGGTGTACTGTCCACATTCAGTGACAGCTATGCAGAATTGAAAATTAAGGTAAGCACTCAATTCAGTGGGCAGAACTTAATTTCACGCTCATAGCTCTAGCCAATGCTCTCCTTTACAAGACTGGTTATACTATTTTTGCTGACTTTTCAGCAGGAAGATTATAGGCTAGAAGGTAAAAGACATCCCTCTGTGGGGCCCCAAATTGTGGAAGCAATGGTACCACTGATCAGATTGCCTGGCCAACTAATGTAAGATCCTCATGGTATGATTCATTTTCTGAGAAGTTGCACTCCTGATACAGACACATGTTATACCTGACTCCTGTCCAGAGTTACTCCATTTGTCTCATGGTAAAGGAGGCCACAGTGCATGGTGCATGTCACCTACAGACATCTGGAATTGCTGAGCATTGGGATAACCTCATGAAAAGTCAACTCAAAAATATTTCTAATTCTACCTCTTTCATCTCCTCTTGGTTCATATATTTTAATAAGATAGTTTGGTCACTAAATATGGCTGTCCTCCCTAAAAAGTATCAACATCTCTTGGCTGTTTTCTGAAAAATAGAACAAAAGAGCTGTGGTAGGGGACACATAAATCTATTTTAAATTTTGGAATTTTGTGTTGACAATTCTTGGATTGTCAACCTCAGGCCAGCTTGGTTTTATACATTTTGCATGGCAGCATGAACAAAAGAAGCCTGGAAGATTCTAATTTAGTTCTAATTCATTCATATGGATTAAAAATGCTCTTGTCCTTCTTGTTCCTGACTCTTTCAGATGAAAAATCTCGGTGCAAATAGGAGGTAACTAGAGGAAAAGTGAAATTATCGGTACTAAAAAGGAACACACCAATTTTGTGATGGTGCAGGGAGAGCAACAACTTTAGTACCTGAGATTAGATCCAAGGGGTTAAAAGGGGACTGGGATGGACATCACTGCCTAATCAAACTGCAACTCCATCTGCCAGTGTGACTTGCTGCTGGGATTGTAGTCTGTCCATGTGCCACAAAAACAGAAAATTGTGTGTGAACATAGCTGGTCTTAAATTTTTCTGCTCTTCCTAAAACAATAACTGACAGTGAAGTCTGCAACCTCCTGGTGATACTGCCTATGTTTTTTCACCAATCCAGTGTGATGGTGGTCCAAATCACATTTTGCAACAAATCCCAGTTACTTGTGCTCCTTTTTGTTCTGTGTTTCTATGTGGGTCAATTGGCAGCCACAGAATCACTCCCTTAAACAGGGATTCTTTGTGGCCCATTTATTGTCCTCTTAATTGTTGTCAGTGACACCAAAGTTTGGCAGGTTAACCTAAATTTCTTTGCACAGGTCACGATTGATATAGTCTGGGTTTAAACGATGTCTTTGCTATCTAAGATGAGACCTCCTGATCCCTTCTGAAATTTATTCACAGTTGGCTAAGTCTAGCTTCCTTGCGGGTGGCGCGTAATTGCAGGCAAAACTACAGGTTGGCCTCATCATGATGGATGGAATTCAGTTGAGAGTAGCCTTAATTAAATGCTATCAGAAATATTTAGTCCTAGCCTCTGTCAGTCAGATTAATTAGAATGGCCAGTGGAGTGGCATAATCCTTGGTTTTTGTTTTCAGCCAAGAACACACTAGGAAGGCACAGGAATATATTATTGAGAAAGGAAATCCTCCAAAGTTCCTGAACATCCCTCAAAATTGTTCCCTGCACCCCAACCCTTGGAAATGGCCCAAGAAAACAGTCATCAGGACCTTGCATTCCTCCAGTGTCCCCTCTAAACTTATTTTAAAACAGAGTGCTTCCAATGAGACGCCTCCTTGTGAATAGCTTTTGCCAGCGCCCCCTAGAGGGAAGATTAAACAGCGAGTTTCAGATCGCAAATCTCTAGCAGGTATTGACAATGTGCCATCATATGTGTTCTTCGTCATTAGGGAGCCAAGATCCTGCCTTACCCAACATGACCTGGATCTCAGGACTGAGGAGGGGGGGTCTTCCTTGGGTGTTCTGTCTCACCTCTAGGAGTAGTGTCTATTATATACTGTGATGCATTTAACATATCTGCTATTGTATTATAAATTTCATCTGCTATTATATTTGTTGGAGTTTTCTTGACCTTTTACTAGTCAATTCCACCTTATTCTGATCCCTTGAAGTATATAATAATAGGATTATCATGGCACCAGCATGAGGTCAAACTTGATTCTGATATCTTTGTTTTAAAATGCTATGCCACCCAAAGATGAATATCAGGTGTGCTATGTGGATTGTGTTGAAAAGTAATTAATAGTGAAGTATTTCTACTAAATGCTTTTTCAACCAAGTAGTAATCATTTTTACAGGAACTTAATAATTTTCTGCATAGGTTTGCAGTAGTTTCACTTTTCATTTGCTATTTCTATATTTAGTAACTTTTCAAATTTCTACAACAGTTGATATTGTTTTTGATAATCAAAGAAGCTTAAATATGTTAATATCACTGAAAAAATTGACCTAGCCAACAAATTGTAATGTAGCTTAAAAATAAGGCCTAAGTTTTTTGAGAATCCTTTATGTGATGATAGTTTAGCTATCAAATTTCCCCCTCAATGTTATATATAATTATGTATGTATAATTTATGGTAAACATAGTGAGCAGACAGAATTATCTAGATTTTTAAATTTTTGTCATTTTTCTCCTGAATAGAAAATAAAATTGGGCCTATTGTTTATAATTTTATTCATTATAATTCTACTTTCATAGAACAAAGGTGCTAATGGGTGCCTCAGGGAGCATTGCTCTGGAAATGAACATATTTAATATTCTAATTAATGATCTGGAAGAGAGAAAAACCTGGCCTTTAATAAAATAGGTAGCATGACTAATTTAAAAGGTGCTAAACATACCATCAGGGACATTTAAGTCATAAAAAATAACTTAGAAAAAACATAAATAATTGACACAAATTCATATTTTGCACAAAAATCTCAGGGCAGCCTAACTAAAAAGAAAACAACATTCCCACACTAGCAAAAGTAACAATAAAATAAGATTAGGAAAGAAATTGTATTCATGATAGAAGATGCTTTGATTCAATGCTAACATTTTTACTGTTTTTGAGTATTTGCATTTATATGTTTGCATAAGTAAACAACTCTTTTGTTTTTGGAAGCTTGGTTTTCTTTCCTATAACAAAATAGAAATGATTTTATATTTATTCTCGCAGCAACTTTACTAATTTATTTAGTTAGCTCATCCCCCCGTACTCATCAGCAGTGTCTGAATATTCTAATTCCCCATATCCTCCAAAACTTTAATATTATCAAAATTCTTAAAGTTTTGTTAGTATAATAGGAGAAAATGAAAATATCTTATGGTTTTAGTTTTATTGTTTGTTTGTTCTGAGACGGAGTCTTGGTCTGTCGCCCAGGCTGGAGTGCAGTGGCGTGATCTCAGCTCCACTGAGATGCCAAGCTCTGCCTCCCAGGTTCACGCCGTTCTCCTGCCTCAGCTTCCCAAGTAGCTGGGACTACAGGCGCCCGCCACCACACCCGGCTAATTTTTTTGTATTTTTAGTAGAGACGGGTTTCACCATGTTAGCCAGGATGGTCCTGATCTCTTGACCTCATGATCCGCCCGCCTCGGCCTCTCAAAGTGCTGGGATTACAGGTGTGAGCCACCGCGCCCAGCCGGTTTTAGTTTTATATTTCCTTGTTTATTAATGAGGTTGAGCATTTTTTTTCATGTCCTCACTAGCTATTTGCATCTGTAATTTTTCTATTTATATACTTTGCCTAATTTATGTTAGGTTTCTTTGTTCTATTATTAAAAACATATTTTGGGTGGGGCATGGTGGCTCATGCCTGTAATCCCAGCACTTTGGGAGGCCGATGCGGGTGGATCACAAGGTCAGGAGTTTGAGACCAGCCTGGCCAACATGGTGAAACCCCATCTCTACTTAAGATACAGAAAATTAGCTGGGTGTGGTGGTGTGTACCTATAATCCCAGCTACTCGGGACGCTGAGGCAGGAGAGTTGCTTGAACCTAGGAGGCGGAAGTTGCAGTGAGCCGAGATCTCTCCATTGCACTCCAGCCTGGGCGACATGGCGACTATATATATATATATATACACACACACACACACACACACATAATATTGAGAATGCTAAATCATTGTCATGGGTGTTGTAAATACTGATTCCGATGTACAATGTATATTTTGATTTTGTTTATGAACCCTTTGACCATGCAATTGTAAAAGGCATAATTTTTAAACATATTTATTTCCTCTTAATTTTTTGTCTTTGCTTCAGAAGGTTTCCCTTATCCCAAAGTCAAACAAATATTCTCCTAAATTTTATTTTAGTCATAAAAATTAGATTCATAATACATCTGAAATATCCTTTTAGAGATATGACTTTAATATCTACAATAGTGAGAGACACAACAATGCTTCAGTGTGGCTTACTGGGAAGAATACCAACTTTTGTTGAGAGCCTATAGTCTTATTCCAGGCTCTATATTTCTACATTTGCTCCATGACCTTGAGGGGTATGTTTATTTCCTCAGGCCATAGTTTATTAGATTAAAAAAAAAAAGGAATTAGGTCTATGTTATCTCAAGCAGAGCCTTCCCTAGGTTGTGTGGTGGTGCTTCAAGAACGTATTTATTTTGGCGCTCTTATCTACGTAAATAATTGGAATCACTCACATAAGTCTTTGGTCACTCACTTTAATTAGTCTGTTGGTATATATTCTATATACCTAATATCCTGAGATTCTTCAAAAGCAATGTGATGCTGGCCCATGGGAAAAATCTGTCATGGGTGTGCACTGCATTCTAGAGTTTTTGGGGGCATCTGGTCAACCCCATATAGTGGTAGGATAGACTCGAGTGTTCCCTGAAAGAGAGAAATGGGATCTCCGTTCCTGTGGGTTCTGGTCCAGACTCAGGGTTTCATGCCAGAATGGCCCTGCTACTTCTTGGTGCCAGAGGGAGACAGGACATTTTGAAGGGAGCATGTCAAAGTAGACTTCCCACCTTGCACATGTCTAAAGGCTTTTCTGATGTCAAAGTTTTCACCTCTATAATGCCAGAATGAGGACATTCAAATGAAGAGATAAATGGACATGATGTTATTCTTTCATTTGAAAGCTCCACTTCGATTAAAATAGAGACTATATACAGTTTTGTGTCCTTTCTGGTGTGGGTGGAAGGAAAAGATTATGAATTCCACTCTTCAGAAGAAAGTGCAGTTCACTAGGTCGTGGGGGCTGGAGGCTGCAGGACAGCTAGAGGGCTGGTAAATCTAGAGGGTCTGCCAGTTATAAAGCAATCAGGCACACATGATTTTGTGCTAGGAACTCAGAGAATGAAACCACAAACACTAAAGAGAGGAATCTGCACTTAAAAATGTTGATGATAGGATTTCACAAAATAGATTCAGTTTATACACATTGGACGTTTTCTGAAAACAAATAACTGAAATGATGTAAAGATAAATTTGGAGTTAAGAGGCTTTTCTGGCTCGACTCTGATATTCATATAGAAGCTTCTGACTAACTTCAAGGTGCCTTTCAATATTGTCATCTGTGTGAAGTTTGCTACGTTTGTTGTCTGTTTTTGCATTCCTATTCTATTTCCAAATATATTACTGGATCTCACATTGTTAGTTATCCCCTTGGACTTATGTACCCTAAACAAAATTCTTATATAAATGTCCCTAATAATCACAGTAATTCCCTCCCCATTAAAAAAAAGTACTTTCAAAAAACATATAAAATTGTGAATGTTGAGTTGGTGTGACAAAGAGCTGAAGAGCTTTTTCTGTGAAAACTTCAAAACCACATTCTGCTAGTTTTTTTTTTTCTCTTTCTACCTATTGTTTCATTTTAAGGAATTGACCTGCTATTTTTATTCACTTTCATAGATATTTTTAAAATTAGGATACTTTCCACCCTCACCAATCGCACCCCAAAATCCAATTAACTTGAATAACATGCTTATTTACCAACTGAGATACATCACTTAGGTGGTGCGGGAAGATAGATTTACAGGTAAAGTGCCAAAAATATGATGGGTATTTGATCAAGTGCCGAGCTTTCTTTGCTGAGAATAATGCAATTGAACATATATTTTACTAAAAATAATCAATTGATTTTTGAATGATCCTTCTCTCACACAAAGAATCACACTAACCTCTGAGCCATACCCATTATTGTCTTGACAAGAACAGACTCACAGCTGATGATGAACTCACTTGTAACAGTAAATACTGTAGCTTTAAAACATTCCTTTTTTTTTTTCTTTTGTAAATATTTGCTAAGTATTTGATGGGGAAGAGGTGAGTCTTTGAAAGTGGTACTTAGAACCATCTCACTTATGGCAGCAAGGTGGTTATTCAGGTGGCTTCGTGGATACCACACCTTTAAACAGAATACATGGGTAGAGATTCCAGCAAAATTCTGAAGTCTGATAGCATATTTATTAGTTTTCAGCAATGTATTGATCTACCCACATCTATTACAGTACATCATCTCTTCCATGATTACCCTGTTCCAATGGCTTCTCTTATTTATTCCCTCTCCACTCACGAGTACTCGACACGCATAACCTACCTTTTGAAATATTCTGGAATAGTACCTCCCCTTACTGGTCTTTTTTGTTATTTGTCCATGAGTGTTGCAGGTCCTGCCTTTCTTTTCCATTCTGACCCCCAAGTTCTACTGCTTCAATGTTAATTATAGTTTTGGTTCTTCAGTAGGCTAACTCACCACTCATAACAATAGCTATCACTGGTCGGGCGCGGTGGCTCACACCTATAATCCCAGCACTTTGGGAGGCCGAGGCAGGCGGATCATGAGATCAGGAGATCGAGACCATCCTGGCTAACAGGTGAAACCCCGTCTCTACTGGGAAAAAAAAAAATTTAGCCTGGCTTTGTGGCGGGCGCCTGTAGTCCCAGCTACTCAGGAGGCTGAGGCAGGAGAACGGCGGTGAACTCGGGAGGCGGAGCTTGCGGTGATCCGAGATCGCACCACTGCACTCCAGCCTGGGCGACAGAGTGAGACTCAGTCTCAAAAAAAAAAAAAGTTATCACTTATTGGACGTATAAGTTGACAGTCATAGTACATTAAATTATACGATCTTTACAACTCTAGGAAAATGCTATCTTTGTTATTTCTGTTTTACAAATGTGTGTTAAGAGAGGCACAGAAGGGTATGTTCCTCATGCAATATTACATATCTGCTAAGAGGTGAAGCAGGGATTTAGAAGCACATGTTCTGACTCATTTTGCTAATAGAGATAGAGATATGTGGCCTTGGGCCAGCGTGGGGAAGGAATATCTTTCAAAGAGACCTCATAGGTATATGATAGGAGAGTCTGCATTCCAGGCACTTTGTAATATCGGTGCAACTCCTGCTCTAAATGGATTTTCAGCTAGGGATTCATTATGCACAGGCCCAGTCCTATATACTTTGGTCATTGTTGGGTGCCAGACTTTTAAGCTGATAAGGAAAATAATAAAAATACATTGGGTATTTATTAATAATATATGTAAATATAGTCTGTAGAAAAGTTTTATTGTACCCACTTCAATAAATTTCTGTAAGTCTTTGAATTGATGCTCATTCATCAGTTAAAACTAACATTTCAAATTGCTATTAACCATCTTGAAAATAATAATAATATTGGTCAATGAATTGAACTTTCAAATGAGTAATGGTTTTATATTTATTATCTTCCTCATATTATTTTTTAACATTTTTTCATTGTCATGTTTTCCTTCTAAATGTTATAGAAATTAAAATCTCATGAGAACCCTACTCATCCAATAAGAGTGTCGGTAACATTAGGCCTTGTAGCTAGCATGTATGTTAGCACTGAGTGCCTGTAGCTCATTAACGGGCATTCTGATTCAGAGATTTTTAAGGTGTAAGATGTAAGAACAACCCCTAACAACACCTAGACTGCCTGGGAAAGGACAGCCTACTTTACAGAGGTTAGTTATGACAAGGTTGGCCTCATGAAATGTAAATAAAGCTACTGTCTACATTTTATCTATTCCTTTTGCATTTGGGCACTTACATGTCTTTAAGAGACTTGTTAGGTATATCTTTTCACACACCATCAAGTAGGATTATGGCAATCAACATATAAATCTTCGATGAAGCAATTTTATAAATTACTTTATGGCAATTGGGATTCGCAGTGTTGGATTATGCATTCACACATAAGCTGGCAGAAATAAGCCCAGGGAAGGAAAAGTGGTAATTCCTAGATCTGCTGACAAGCTTGAAGTTTATATGTCTCCTATGGACTCAATGGCGAAGTAAACTTGATCTTTTTTATTTCAAGCTGGACAATCAGGCTACAAATTGGGAGATTAACAGTACACATTTATTAGTCTATTATCATCTATTATACACCAGGCTTTTCATTACACAATGTCTATTATACACAGGCTTTCCATTACACAATGAGAAATGCTTAAAAATGAAATAGTTGTAAGTCCCTTTTTTGTCTTTTCTTTAACAATGTCTTTAGCTACCCAATGGCATAGGGAGAAGTTGGTAGACAACACAACTTTATCATCCCTACAGCTGGAGCATCTGAGTTGAGTATTTTTTGTCCTCTGCAATTGTCTGTATGTAGATATATCCCGCTGTCTTGTAGTCCACTCTGAGAGATTTCTTCCCACACTGTATCATGGAAAAATTAGACAAAATTTCTGGGAGATTGCTATTTCCTTCAGTTTCCAGTGTTGATGTGAGTTTCCATTCCTCCAAGTCGCCTCTCACCTGCACTTTTATATTAGGCCGTTCATCTTAAAAGAACAG